>NC_000015.10:22128502-22308242 GCF_000001405.40 Homo sapiens | reverse complement strand
GAATTCTCACAACAGCTGATGGTTTTAAAGTGTGGCACTTCCTTGTTTTCTTGCTCTCTGTCTCCTACCACCAGGTAAGAAGTGCCTTCTTCCCCTTGACCTTTTGCCATAACTGTAAGTTTCCTGAGTCCTATCCAGCCATGGGGAACTGGGAGTCAATTAAACCTCATCTTTTTTTTTTTTAAATAAATTACTCAGTCTCAAGTAATGCTTTATAAGCAGTGTAAAAACAGACTAATACAGATACATAGTTAATGAATATTTTCTCCCATTCCATAGGTTGTCTGCTTATTCTGTTGCTGTGCAGAAGCTGTTTAGTTTAATTAGGTATCACTTGTCAATTTTTGTTTTTGTTGCAATTGCTTGGGGACTTAGCCAAAAATTATTTGCCAAGGCCAGTGCTGACATGAGTATTTCCTAGGTTTTACTCTAGTGCTTTTATAGTTTGAGATCTTACATTTAAATATTTAATCCATCTTGAGTAAATATTTGTATTAGTGAAAGATAAGAATTTGGTTTCATTTTTCTGCTTATGGCAAGCCAGTTAACCTGAAACATTTATCAAATGGCAAATCCTTTCCCTATTGCTTGTTTTCATTGACCTTGTCGAAAATCAGATGGTTGTAAGTGAGCAGCTTTATATTTTAGCTTTCTATTCTGTTCCATTAGTCTATGTGTCTGTTTTTGTATCAGTACTATGCTGTTTTTTCACTGTAGCCTTATTGTTTGAAGTTGATAGTGTAAGGCCTCCAGCTTTGTTCTTTTTGCTTAGGTTTGCATTGGCTATTTGGGCTCTTTTTTGGTTCCACATAAATTTTAGAATAGTTTTTCTAATTCTATGATAGGTTGATAGGAATAGCATTGCATCTGTAAATTGCTTTGGGCAGTATGGCCATTTCAGTGATATTGATTTTTCATTTCTATGAAACATTAAAACATTCCATGAGTATGGAATGTTTTCCCACTTATTTATGTCACCTGATTTCTTTCAGCATTGTTTTCTAGTTCTCCTTGTAGAGATTTTTCACCTTCTTGGTTACCTGTACTCTCAGCTGTTTCATTTTCTTTGTGGTTATTGTAAATGTGATTGTGTTCTTAATATGACTCTCAGCCTGGATGTTATTGGCACATATAAATGGTACTGATGTTTTCTACATTGATTTTGTATCATGGAACTTTGCTAAAATCATTTATTAGTTCCAGTAGCCTTTCTCCTGCTTGATTGCTCTGGCTCTGACTTCCACTACTACGTTGAATATGAAATGGTCAGAGTGCTTGCCTTTTTTTCAGTTCTCCAGGGGAATGTTTCCAGCTTTTGCCCATTCAGTATAATGTTGGCTCTGGGTTTGCTATAGACGACTCTTATTATTTTGAGTCATATTATTTTGATGTCTAGTTTGTTGAGGGTTTTTATCATGAAGTGATGTTGAATTTTATTGAAGTTTTTCTGCATTTTTTGAGATGATCAGATAGTTTTTGTGTTTAAATCTGCTTATGTGGCGAATCATATTTATTGATTTGCATATGTTGATCCAACCTTGCATCCCAGGAATAAAGCCTACTTTATCGTGGTGAATTAACTGTTTTATATGCTGCTGGATTCAGTTTATCAATATTTTGTTGAGAATTTTTTGTCTGTGTTCATCATGGACATTGGCCTCAAGTTTTCTTTCTTCATTGTGTTTCTGCCAGAGATTGAGTTTGAAAGGATTCCCTCCTTTTTTTGTAATAGCTTCAGTAGAATTCGTACCAGTTTTTCTTTGTATATCTGGTAGAATTTGACTGTGAATCCATCTGGTCTAGGACTTTTTTGGTTGGTGGTAGTTTTTTTTTATTACATATGATTCAATTTCAGAGTGAGATATTTCACTATTCAATGCTTCAATCTTTTCCTGATTCAATTAGAGACTGTCTGTTTCTAAGAATTTATCAATTTCATCTACAGATTTTCTAATTTGTATGCATAGAGTTGTTCATGGTATTCTATGGGAAACTTTTGTAATTCTGTGGGATCAGTTATATTATCTTTGTTATTTCTGACTATACTTATCTTCTCTTTTTTTCATTGTAAATCTAGCTGTTAAATAGCAGTCTATCCATCTTGTTCATCTTTTCAAAGAACAAACTCTTGCTTTTTTATTATTTTTTCTATGGATTTTTCTATCTCAATTTCAGTAAGTTCTCTAATTTTAGTTATTTTTTTCTTCTGCTAGCTTTTTCTTTTCTAGTTCCTTTAGGTGCAAAGTTAGATTGCTAAATTGAGATCTTTCTAACTTCTCGATTACTGCATTTAGGGAAATAAACTTTCCTCTTAACACTGCTTTGGCTGCATCTCAAAGATTTTGGTAAGTCATATTCCTGTTTTCAATATTTCAAAGAATTTTTCTTAAATCTACCTTTATTTTGATGTTCACCTAAGAGTTATTCAGGAGTAAGTTGTTTAATTTCCCTATATTTGTGTAGTTTTGAGAGGTCTTCTTGATTTTGATTTCTATTTTTATTTCACTGTGGTCCAAGAGTTTGCTTGGTATAATTTCAATTTTTTGAATTTATTGAGACTTGCTTTATGATTAAGCACGTGGTTGATCTTAGAATATGTTCCATGTGCAGATGGGAAGAATATATATTCTGTGGATATTACCTGGGGTATTTTGTAGATGTCTATTAGGTCCAATTGTTAAAGTGTTGAGTTTATGTCCAGAGTTTGTTAGTTTTCTTCCTTAATGATCTGTTTAGTGCTGTCAGTGGGGTGGTGAAGTCTCCTGCTGTTATTGTTTGGTTGTCTAAGTGTTTTCATGGGCAATGAAGAACTTGTTTTATGAATCTGGGTGCTCCAATATTGAGTGTATATATATTTAGTACAGTTAAGGTTTCTTGTTTGATTGTACCCTTTATCATTATGTAATGCCCTTCATTGTTCTTAATTTTTATTGGTTTAAAGTCTATTTTATATAAGAATAGCAACTTCTGCTCTTTTTTGCTTTCTGTTCACATGGTAGCTCTTTCTCCATTCTTTTGCTGTGAGCCTGTGGTTGTTCTTAATGTGAAATAGGTCTCTTGAAGATAACAGATGGTTGGGTCATTTATCCAGCCTGCCACTCTGTGTCTCTTAAGTGGAGCATTTAGCCCATTTACATTCAAGGTTAGTATTGGTATCTGTGATTTTAATTCTGTCATCATGTTGCTAGCTGATTGTTATGTAGACTTGATTATGTGGTTGCTTTATGGCGCCTGTGTGCTATGTGGTTAAATGAGCTTTTGTGGTATGACTGTCATTCTTTCTTTTCCATGTTTAGCACTCCCTTAAGGACCTCTTGTATGGCTAGTCTAGTTGAAACATATTCCCTTAGCATTTGCTTCACTTCACTTTTAAGCTTAGTTTGGTGGGATATGAAATTATTGGTTAAAATTTATTTTCTTTAAGGATGCTGAAAATAAGCTACCAATCTCTTCTGACTTGTAAGCTACCTGCTGAGAGGTCTGCTGCTAGCCTGATGAAGTTCCTTGTATGTGACTTTACCCTGCCTTTAAGACTTTTTTCTTTAGTGTTGACCTTGATGAATATTGTACTATGTGCCTTGGAGGTAGTCATTTCATGTCATATCTATCTGGGGTTCTGCGTGTTTCTTGGATTTGTATGTAAATCTCCCTAAAGAGATAAGAGGAATTTTCATGAACTGTATCTTCAAATATATTTTCCAAGTTGCGTATTCTCTCTCCTCTCTCAGGAATGACAATGAGTCATAGATTTTTTCGCTTTACAAAATCCCATATTCTTGGAGGTGTCACTTTTTTTTCCCATTTTTTTCCTTATTTTTGTCTGAGTTGACTTAAAGAACAAGTCTTCAAGTTTTGAGATTATTTCCTCAGCTTGGTCTATTCTGCTGCTAATACTACTGATTATTTGATAAAATTCTGATAGTGAGTTTTTCAGCTCTAGAATTTAAGTTTGGTTATTTCTGAAAATGGCTACTTTATCATTCAGCTCTTGGATTGCTTTACTAAATTATTTGAATTCCTTGCACTGAATTTCACTTTCTCCTGAATCTCAATGGGTTTCCTGGCCACAGATTCTGCATTCTGTGTCTGTTATGTCAGTCATTTCAGACTGGTTAGAAACCATTGCTGGGGAGCTAGTGGATCATTTGGAAGTGAGGGTACACTCTGACTTTTTGGATTGCCAGAGTTCTTGTGCTAATTCTTTCTCATCTGGGAGGGTTGGCATTTCTTTAACTGTGGTGTAAGTTGAGAATAGTCAGTTGGCTTAATTTCTGAATGCTTTTAGAGGCCCAGGGCTCTTACAGAATCTTTATGTGTGGGTAAATTTTTGACTTGGTTTCACAGCTGTATATATTAGCAGAATAAAATTTAGGTGTTGTAGTTTGGGTGGCAATCCAGTGAATGAGGTTTAACAGTAATGACTGGTAGCTAGGTTAATACCTGGTCACAGGGCTTTTTTGTACTTCTTGAGTTCACAGATATGCTCTGCAGTGATATGGAGTGATACGGTTCCCTCAACAGATCTGCTTGTAAAACTTGAGAGAGCTCCCTCTGATAGCTGGTGCTGTGCCCACATTTCTTTTGTTAGTTTTTCTGAGCCACATGGTCTTCTTGGGCAGAAGCTGTGGCAGGGAGATATGCCACATGCTTTTTGGACTGGACCTGAGAAGGGAGGCATGTTCCACTCTTACCCCAGCTCAGGAATCCGTGCATCTCACCCCTCTCATGGCTCTGAGATTGGGGGCTCTTTCTCTGTTTGAGTGCCAGCCACAAATCTTGGTTCCATACTCCCAAGCTGCACACTACAGCCCTGGGGACACTGGGATATCCCATGGCTTGGGTTTGGGTTCTTGCTCCACTGGGGGATACAGTGTGCTCCAGGGTCATGAAGAAAATATGTGGGTGCAACTACACACTCAGGCTGACCTTCCAGGGCTGCACTATGCACCTGCTCCTACAGGGCAGCTAGGCATGGACCCTGGGAAGGGCTGGTAGGCAGAAGGGCTTGCAGAGTAGATGCACCCCAGTCGTGCAGGAAAGCTGGCCCAACTCTCTCCTGGCTTGGAGGTCAGTAGGGGTCCATGCCTCCCAGAGGAGAATGGAAATCCCTGGGGAATGGGCATCTATGGCTGCTCTTGCCTGCAGCAGTCCAGCACACAAAAGCTCCTGGGCTCTGTGCTGTCCAAAGTCTGTCTCTGCCTGCTCCCCAGGGAGATCCCCCTGCCAGCTCACACATCCATGGTCGCGTAAGGTCCCTTGTAGCTAGAAAATCAAATGCTCATGGCAAGAGTGAACCATCCCTCAGTTCCTTCATTCAGTCCTTTACTGGAATTGTTTGGGGCCAGGAATTAGCCCTGGCATTTGGGTAGCTAAGTCAGGGTTTCCACCTTCCTGCCTCTTCAGTCTTGGCTTCGACCTTGCCTCTCCATCCACTTTCAGCATTTTCTCCTTGAATACCTGTTCAAATTATGGTGGTTTACCTAATAATTTGGCCTCTCTTGAGAGGAGTGGCACTTCCTGGCTGTGTCTAGTCGGCCATCTTGTTCGTCTCCTCTATCTTAAAATGGAGTCAACCAATCCACTACAAATAATGTGATTTGAGGAAGTCCAAAGCTCTAATTCAGGTTTTTATTTGTTTGTTTTGTATGCTTTCCGGGTTTTTTTTTGTTGTTAAAAACTATCTCAACAATTTTATTCTCTCCAATAAATGTACATCTCATCTAAATTTTGGTATTGAGCTTTTTTATACATCCTATTTCCAACCAAAAAGACTTGTTTTTAAATAAATGCAACTTAATCATCCTATTTCTATTATTTAGATACTATCATTCCTTCTATCTGGAGGTCTCTGTAATGGCTGTATTAACAGTACTCAAAAGTAATGTGGATAATAATTGTGGATTTTGTTCTTGTTTTTAAATCTGTCTTTAATCATTTCATGTAAAGTTGTAAGCCTTTGAAGCATTTGAGAATTTCATACAAAACATTTCTGAAAGATAAATTTTCTCATATTTTCTTGGACACGCTGATTGATCATTTTAGTTAGTCTCTGAAGAAATCCATGAAAAAGTACTTGTTACTATTTTTACCCACAGCAGCATAATTTAAATTTGAGTTAAATAGGCTTATAAACAAATTTGTATAACCATGATGAAAAATCATCTTCCCAATAGTATAGCTAAACTAATAAAGTAACTGTGGTAGGGATGAGCAATTATAGTCCAAGCAATGTAAACTCAATTCATACGTGGAAAACCACAGGGGCAAGGGGAATACAGTATATAGACAGTGTCAGAACAAGAGACTGCTAGGAGTTCTGGGTTTTATCCTCCTCTACAGATACACATTGTCTACCCAGCTTCCCAAGAGACCACCATGTAAATGTCTTCTTTCAACTCGTCATGATTAAAGGTTAATAATATTTTACACAAAAATAATGTGTTCTTTTAAAAGGTAGTAAAATTTTCTGGGACAGAGATTGAGGATGTTCTTCAGCAATCTTACAAATGATTTATTGGTTTATTTACATAAAATCAAATCAGTGTATATTCTATCTTACATTAGCTGAACTACAGTAGCTTCCACAATAAGTCAAGCACAAATTTTAATCCATTTAACAATCTTTAGCAAACATTTATTTAAGGACTCTAATGTTTCAGGGATAGTAATGGTTACTAGGTATACAAAGCAAATCAATCTCAGTTCGTGCCTAAAAAGTACATAATCTTTAATAAGTTTCAAGATCATAGAGCCATATAATCTAATAAAATAAATAAATTCATCTGTTTTATTGAGCAATTATTTGGTACCGACTATGTGCAAGCTATTGTGTATATTTTGGTATGTGCTAAAAGTCTATGATTCTGTATATGTTTTTCATGTACCTATTTTTAATAAATTTGTATTTTTTCTTAATACTATGACACAATTTGCATTTTTAATCTTTAAAGCCTTTCACTATTATTCAGTTTTTGTCACTATTCTCTCACAAAGTTCTTGTGGTATGTCTTAGCTTTTTTCTGAATGCACTTTTATCATATTCATATGTATTATGAATCTTTCAAGACACAGTTCAGTAGTCACCTCCTCCACCCCACCATGATACTTATAGACATATACACCACCCAAATGAGAATAATATTTTCCTCTTGTAAATGCTCATTTTTCTCTGTGTCCCGAGGAATTTGCCTTTTGTTACAGTGCATTGTGTATATGCCTCCTCACTTCAGTACATTGTGTTTCTGTAGAATAGAGTTCATATCTGTTCATTTTTATTTTCTTGGAATTTAGGGACAGTTTCTGGTGTATAATGGATCCTATTACGTGCTTTTTATGTAAATTTTATGTATATTTAATTTGAAATTTATAATACCTTTCAAAATTCTTGACCATTCTATATTTAATAACAAAATTAAAATAAATGAATTAAAAATGTATCATTCTGATTATCCTTCCAGAAAATTGTATCTCAGTTTCTTTCAGAGAGAAAATATTTGACAATCAACAAGGAGACTTCTCTAATATGACATATCTGAACCAAAACAACAAGCATTAAATGGGTGACTAGTCATTACATAATACTATAAAAATTTATAGAAATCTCTTAGTCAGAACATTTATGAGAAATGTCATAAATTTAAAGTTAATGTGAATTGCTTTTATATTAGTGTATCGTTTGTAAGCCGTCTACCCATAATATTAATTAGCATGGATATAGTACATTGAAACAGAGCTACAATCTGTACTAATATTTATTCTTTGTATAATTCTACTTAAATTATTGGTTGGAAAAAGTTATTTCCAATACAAACATTGAAACATAACCTAGAAGGCCGTCTATGTAGTACATTCTTGCTCTGGTTTTGAAAAAAAGCGTTATCAGGTTGTTTACTAATGGAATAAAATGACAGATGAAGTAATGAACATCCTAGACGAACCCAGGCATCTCTACATGCATAGTTAAATGTTATTTTAATATCCGGCCGGATGGCAAGTAAAACTGTAGAATTTAATGTCTATCTAACCATACCAAACTTTCCAAATATTGTTGCAATGTTTCTTCTTAAAAATAAAAATATAAATTTTACTTAGAAGTCAAATTGAAAAATAAATATTGGCAAGAAATACATGAAATTTTACAAAGAACATGTTCATATATATATATTTATGATTGATCACATTTTATTAATTGGAGAGTTAAACATACTTTTATCATGTTTTCTACCCTAGAAAATATGGAAGATAAAGCTCTGTTGTCCTCTTCATTTTCCTAACTAAGCAAGTATTTTATAAAGCACTGAGGTGTAATTCTCTTTACAAAGTGATAAATCCTTTACACAAAATTGTTCCTACTGAAGATAATAATTCTCCAATTACAAAAGCATCATCCTTTTTTTTTTTTTTTTTTTTTTTTTTTTTTTTTTTTTTTGAGACGGAGTCTCGCTCTGTCGCCCAGGCTGGAGTGCAGTGGCGCGATCTCGGCTCACTGCAAGCTCCGCCTCCCGGGTTCACGCCATTCTCCTGCCTCAGCCTCCCGAGTAGCTGGGACTACAGGCGCCCGCTACCACGCCCGGCTAATTTTTTGTATTTTTAGTAGAGACGGGGTTTCACCGTGTTAGCCAGAATGGTCTCGATCTCCTGACCTCGTGATCCGCCCGCCTCGGCCTCCCAAAGTGCTGGGATTACAGGCGTGAGCCACCGCGCCTGGCCAAGCATCATCCTTTTATAGTCAGTTTTGACCTTCTAATTCCAGCCATTTACTTGAAAACAATTGGGACACAATTTCCAAGTTGGCTTGCAGTAGCCACCCGATTATGATAAAATAATATCTTTAATATAGTGTATTTTATGTAAATAAACAATTTCTTTTAGGTATAGTTTTATTACAAACATATTTTTAAAGTTTTTCAAACATGCAACTTAATATATTCATTTAGATCATAAACTTTATAATTTACACTGAAATTGGGAAAATTAATTTTACTGAAAGTCTTGTTTTCTTTTCTAGGGAATTTTGGTAACACAAAAAATACAAAATTTACCAGTTTCCTAATTGATGTAAGGTTATTTATTATTTAGGACTCTATCACAGCCTTTGAAATAATTTGATTTATGTAATCTCCTTTGCTATAGAAATTTTACCTAGCATAAAATCTCCACTTTTATTTTTAATAACATTTGCTTGATACTTAACACAAATGTCTTTCAAGCTGAGAAGGTCACATGCTATCACTGCTTGACATATGTAGAGATTCATCACTCTAAATAATTCGTGTGTGTAATATTGACTAATTATTTCATGATAAAATATAGGTGATTGATCGTAAAATCAGCTTTTACTTTGCATGGTCATACTGAACTTCTCAAAAAAATAAAAATAAACTAGCTGCAAGAACAAAACTAACAAAGAAATATTCAGAAATTCCATTTTTTGAAAGATATTTTAGTAGCAATAAAGTTCATATATTTCAGTGTGTAAGTAATATCTAGCTTGTGACATACAATTATAAGAAGATCTATAATTCGTTTTTTAGCTATTTTCTCTGTATGGACAACAAAATATATATAACATGACTGTAGTAAACATGCCATCTTTATAAATTTTTCTCTCAGTTCTATCTGTTTTCTAAATGTATTTGTTTAGTCCCTACCTCCTACTACGTATTATTTAGTTTTATTTTCTGTAGTTTACATTTTAACGAAGGTAAGATTTTGCTTATCAAATTATTTAAGAAAATCTATTTTGAGACACCCTAAACAAATATTTATGATGCATATTTTTAGCTTGCAAGAAATAAATGGATTCTCCAGACAGCTGAAGATAATTATAAGCAGAAACTAGAGTGAGAAGTAAGGATATACGAAATTAGGGAATTAGACTGAAAACAACTGCCTATATCAGCATAATGATCTGGGAATTCAGCCTTTAGATGTCCATAAGCTAGGGTAGCTAATTTACTGAAAATCCAGGTTCAATTAATCTAGGTACACTAAAAAAGAGTAAAATTTGGGACTTCTTCTTATGAGTTATAGCCAATTTAGGCTTCAAGGATTTTGACACATCAAGAAAGGGAGACCTTATATTTAAATTTATATTAAATATTATTTAAAGTAGGCAAACTATTTTCAAAAAATAAGATAAAAGCAAACAAAATAAATTAAAATGACCAATAGTTTTAGATAACCAAAAGCCACCAGTTTTGAATTAGAAACTGATTAAAATCATTATTAAAATATTTAAAGAAATAAAATATAAATATATGAGAAAGCAAAAAGGTTATTGAAAATTTAAAAATTGATTCAAAAAATGCCACATATAAATTTAAAACTGAGAAAATAAATAAATCATGTGCCCATATATTTTGTAATATAAATGAAATAGGTCAATTCTTTCAAAGATCCAAGCTACCAAAACTCACACACAAAAAATAGATAATTTGGATATATTATCTATTTGGATATACATATATATAATTGAATAATTAAGAATATTCCAAAAAGAAAGCCTGAGACCCACATAATTTCACTGGTGAATTCTACCTAATATTTAAGAAAG
Source organism: Homo sapiens (assembly GCF_000001405.40). Classification (NCBI taxonomy): domain Eukaryota; kingdom Metazoa; phylum Chordata; class Mammalia; order Primates; family Hominidae; genus Homo; species Homo sapiens. The sequence goes on along the minus strand of NC_000015.10, from coordinate 22,297,687 downwards.
AAATAATATCAATTTTCCACAATTTATTCCAGCATATGGAAACAGGGAAGATTTTTCCTAATTCTCTGAGTCAATCATTATCCAATACTAAAACTCATATAAAGCCCTTGCAATACATAAAATGTACAAACCTTTTTTGCCTGTGCTTTGGGGATTGTATCCAAATACTTTTTCAAGAATAATGTCAAGAAGCTTTTCGTATGTTCTCTTCTAGTAATTTTATCTTTTTATTAATGTTTATTTTACCCATTTTAAGTTGATTTTTGTATATGGGGTGAAATTAAGGATTCATGTGGATAGCCAGTTTTTCTAACATCATTTATTGAAGAGACTGCCGTTTCCCCATTGCAGGTTATTGGCACCTTTGTCAAAGATCAATTGGCTGAAGACACGTTACCTTATTTCTTGGATCTCTGTTTTGTGCCATTGATCCATATGCCTGTTTTGTGCCAATTCCATACTCTTCTGAATTGGAAATATTCGTAGCAAATTTTGAGATCAGGTTGTGTGATGTCTCCAACTTTGCTCCTTTTGCTTGGAATTGCTTTGGATATTTGAGTCTTTTGTGGCTCCATGCAAATCCTAGAATTACTTTTTTTTCTTTCCATTTTTGTGAGAAATGTCTTGAGAATTTTAATAGAGATTGCACTGAATCTGCAGATATCTTTAGGTATTATGGGCATTTTAATAATACTAATTCTTCCAACCCATAAACACATGATATCTTTCCATTTATTTGTATCTTCTTTAATTTGTGTCATTAATATTTTCAATAGTTTTTCAATGTACAGATCTTGCCACTCCTTGTTTTTCATATTTTTGATGCAATCATGTTTTTTTCTTCTTTCTTTTTCAGATATTTCACTGTTAGTAAATAGAAACACTACTGATTATTGAATGCTTATTTTGTATCCTGCAACCTTATTAAATTCATTTATTAATTTTAACAGTTTTTTTGGTGGAGTCTTTAGAGTTTTTATATATAAGATCATATCATATGCAGAGACAATTTAACTTCTTCCTTTCTGATTTGGATGCATGTAATTTCTTGCTTATGCCTAATGCCTGTCACTAGGACCTCCTGTAGACACTTCTCAAAACAGAAGGCATACAAATAGGCAATAGGAATGTTTAAAAATGCCCAATCATCAGGGAAATGCAAATTATAACCACAATGAGATATCACCTCGCAGCTGCTCAAGCAGCTTTTATCAAAAAGGCAAAAGCTAACAAGTGTTGGTGAGGGTGTGGATAAAAGGGAACCACTGTACATTGTTGGTAGGAAGGTAAATTAGTACAGGCATTTTGGAAAATATTATGGAGTTTTCTCTAAAATCTAAAAATATAGAACTCCCATATAATTCAGTAATTCAATTTCTGGGTATATATCAAATAAAATGAAATCAGCATGTTGAAGAGGTATCTGCATTCCCATGTTCACTGCAGTGTTGTTCACAATGGCCAAGATATGGAATCAACCTAAGTGTCCATCAACAGAAGAATGAGTAAAAATAATGTGGTATATATACACAATGAAATACTATTCAGCCTTGAAAAATAAGTAAATCTATAGATGAATCTGGAGGACATTATGACAAATAAAATAAGCCAGGCACAGAAGGATAAATACAGCATGTTCCCACATATATGTGGAATCTAAAATAGTCAAACTTACAGAAAAAAAAGCAGAATGGTAGTTAAAAGGGATTGGGGGAGATGGGAAGATATTGGTTAAAGGGTATAAAGTTTCAGATAGGAAGAATAAATTCTGGAGACATATTGTACAGCATAGTGACTGTAGTTAACAATAACGTATGGTATGTTTGAAAACTGCTAAGAGAGCAGATTTTAAATGTTCTCACCACAAAAAAATAAGTATGCGAGGTGACAGATATTGATTTAATAATTTCACAATGTATACATATCGGAAAACATCACTTTGTACCCACATATGTATACAATTATTATTTGTCGATTAAAAATAAACTAAAAAGGAAAAACTAATATATCTGAAGAACACAAATGCAAAATTCCTCAACAAAATGTTAGCAAACAGAATTCAATAGTATATAAAGAGAATTATAACCATAACAAAACAGAATTTATTCAAATATTCAAAAATGACTGAACACACAAACCAATCAATGTAATTTACCATTTCAACAGGCTAAAAAAAAAAGAAAAATTATGTGATTATATCAATAGATGCAGCAAAACCTTTTGGCAAAAATTCATCAATTCATTGACCAAACAAACAAAAATATCTCATAAACTAGGAATAAATGGGAGCTTTCTCAACTTGATAAAGTACACTCATAAAACCTAAAGCTAACATCATACATAATGGTCAGAGGCTGAATGTTATATCTTTAAAATAGGGAAAGGCAATTATAACTTCTGTTGCCACACTTTTGAACATCTCACTGGAAATTCTACCTAATTCAATAAGACAAAAAAGGTACTCTTATTGGAAAGAAAAATACCTGTCTTTATTTGCCAATTATATGATAGTCTATATGTAAAATCCTCAAAAACCTACAAGGAAAAATCTTCTGGAGTGTATAAGCAGCACAGCAAATCTTCAGGGCACAAAGTTCATGTACAAAACTCAATTCTTTTTCTACATACCAACAATGAAATTTTGGTATTTGAAATTTAGAAAGCAATATTATTTTCAATAGTAGCAGAAAATAAAACATATATGTATAAATTTAACAAAATATGTGCAGATCTGTAAGCAAAGTTAAGACACAGATGGAACATGTTAAAGATCTAATTATATGGAAAACATTCTATGCCATTGACTGAAAATCCCAACATTATTGACACTCTTTTCTCCCAAATTGATCTACAGATTTCATTCAATCTCAATTAAAATTCCATCAAACTACTTTGTAGATATAGACAAACTTATTCTAAAGTTTAAATAGAAAGGCAAAAGATAGCCAAAAAAAAAGTACAATGTGGAGACACAAACTACCCAACTTCAGAACTTACAGTATAGCTATAATAATCAAGATTATATGATACAGTTAAAAGATACACATAAATCAAGGAAAGAGAACACAGACATAGAACAAAACAAATATGATTAACTGATTTTTAACAAGGACTAGCCTGGCCAACATGGTGAAACCCTGTCTCTACTAAAAATACAAAAATTAGCCAGGCATGGTGGTGGACGCCTGTAATCCCAGCTACTCCAGAGGCTGAGGCAGGAGAATCGCTTGAACCCAGGAGGCAGAGGTGCAATGAGCCGAGACTGTGCCACTTCACTCCAGTCTGGGCGACAGAGCAAGACTCCATCTCAAATAAATAAATAAATAAATAAATAAATAAATAAATAAATAAATAAATGAATAAAGAATGACCAGAATTTGTATAATTCGAGTCTTACAGGATAATAGACAATGCTTAATGTATGCTTGCTATATGCTAAGTATGGTGCTAAGAAATTTAATGAATTATTTTATTTAATTTTTGCAACAAGTCTTTGTCATAGATAGTAGTATTATTATACCCATACTACAAGTGAGAAAACTAAGAGTTAGAAAGGTTAATTAACATATCCTATGTTACCAAGAAACATGTCAAAAGAAAAAAAGTTCCCTAAAGGAAAATGCACAACAAAAATAATGATTAAAAAAAAATACACCGGGTGTGGTGGCTCACACCTGTAATCCCAAAACTTTGAGAGGCCTAGGTGGGTGGATCATGAGGTCAGGAGGTCAAGATCATACTGGCTAACACAGTGAAACCCCATCTCTACTAAAAATACAAAAAAAATTAGCCGGGTGTGGTGGAATGCACCTGTAGTCCCAGCTACTTGGGAAGCTGAGGCAGGAGAATTGCTTGAACCCGGGAGGCAGAGGTTGCAGTGAGCTGAGATCATGCCACTGCACTCCAGCCTGGGTGACAGAGCAAGACTCTGTCTCAAAAAACAACAACAACAAAACATACACAGCCAGGTACAGTGGCTCACGCCTGTAATCCCAACACTTTGGGAAGCCAAGTTGAGAGGATCACTTGAGGTCAGGAGTTCAAGACCAGCCTGGCCAATAAGGCAAAACACTCTCTCTACTAAAAATACAAAAACTAGCCAGGTGTGGTAGCCCACACCTGTAATCCCAGCTACTCAGGAGGCTGAGGCAGGAGAATCGCTTAAACCCAAGAGATGGAGGTTGCAGTGAGCCAAGATCATGCCACTGCACTCCAGCCTGCACAACACAGTGAGACTCTGTCTCAAAACAAAAACAACAACAAAAAAAAACACTACTCAAAACAGTTCAAACCACCCCTATAATACTGTCCTATTATGTGTGTTAACCACTCAAAAGAAGTCAAACACACAAAAAGATATGGCTAAAAGAATTAAAATGCTAACTAACTAATATCCTCTTTAGTCCTTGATCTTCTAGTGAAGAAGAGGATAGGTGCCAACGTGAGTCCTCTCCTGCAGAGCCACACCCTTGACAATGGAGATAAATGTGCACGTATGTCCCCTTGAAAGGTTGCACCTTTCCTGCTTTGGCTAGAGCCTCTGCCATGGTGCCACCTGGTTTCTATGTAAATCAGCTGACGGGTAGAATCATTTCTGACCAGTTTAGGGAGGTTCTGGGCAATGTTATCTTTGCCTTCCTACCTCCCTCACTACTCCCTCCCCACCACTGAACACAGTAATTTTTACTAGAAAACATCCAAGCTAACAGATTCTCAGTACAAGTAAAAATGTTGCCTCTCCAGCAGATAGAAAAATGAACAGATAAGTTAAAACTTACAAAATTAAATCTGATGAGTTTATTCCATCATTAGTGTAGAAACACAGATCACATATACCTGAATATGCAAAGAAAGTTAAATTATGATGCAATCAATGCTATCCTATAAAAACCAAATTAACAAAAATAGTCTATTAGGGAAGACATCTGGTGTATCATGGTAAGAAATGTTAATGATATTGTCTGCAACCCTGTAATCAATTTTTTCTCCCAGCAGCTATCTCATTACTCTGTATTAGATCTGTGTGCCTGCAGGATTTATAAGAGCTCCACATATGGGGAAGCTTCGCCAACTGGATCTGATTCAGATCCAGCTCAAATGACTTTGGCAGCACAAAGCATCATTAAAGAACAATCAATACAGTTAGCTTTATGTACCATCATCTTGACTGAAAGAAGATTTATCCTCTCACTACAGAATCTCTCACATCTACATATAATGTACCAAGTGCTCCACCAGTCATGAACTTATTTAAATCATCAGTAGACACAAATATTTTTATTGCTAAAAAATAAATACTAGTCATCATTAATTGTAATATAAAAAGTTTACAAAAAAAATTAATGTTATTATGGGGAAGACTTAAAATCCATTCAGCAAATCCTGTTGAGTATTACAGTAAATAAAAGTATTAATAATAGCATCCACATTGATTAAGAAAATATCAGCCTGAAAGTAAAACCCACTTTTTAGATATATGTGGAAATAAGACATATCGGTAAATAAGACATATTGGTCATTGGTAAAGGCTGAAGCTTTAAAAGTAGGTAGTCACATTGGGAATCTACTAATTTGTCCCATAAGACATCAGTCTTTCTCTGGGAATTAAAATTAGACTTTTATCTATACTACACTGGGTTCTGTCTTCCACCGTAAGACAGAGAATTCCAAGGTTTCCATAATGTGAAATCCCCACCCCTTTTTATGGTATGACCCTTGAGTAATTACATCAGCAAATATGTAAACGTGTTATGCTGTTCCAACAATTACTCCTGATTTGGTTACAATTATCAATATATCATCTCTACTGTCTTGGTCCTCTTCATCTTACCCATGAATGGCGGCCCTAGCCTCCTACTTGGAACTTTCACCATCTTTCCCGTTCCACACTGCAAACTGCTACAGTCAATCTTCTTAAGCAGTGGTCTGCAAGGTGGCTCGTCTCGAATAAAAAAGCTTACAAAAGCTCTCTACTGCCTATTACACAAAATCTTAACTTTGCTAACTTTGAAGATTCTCTATAATCTAGACCCATTTTATATCTCCACATCTGCCTCCCAAAATCCACTAACCTGTGCTCTTCAGTGACGTCCTGCGGGTCTTCTTCTCACGACTCCCAGACTCGTCAGCCTCACTGCCTGTGTTGCTTATAAGGACAGGCTGCCATGTACACCTGCAAGGCTCCTATACTCTGCCTATCCACTTCTTATTGATGTGTGAAAAACATACCCAGCTCCTCAAAACCTACCCACCTTCACAGAACTTCCCCAAGTGCCACATGGCATCTGGAGCACTTTCTTTTCTTCACCCCAAGATATTAATATTCTACACTGCAACTGAACAACTCACCGTATATTGACAGTATCCCGCATTGTGTGTGTCTAAGTGTGAGAGAGCTTGCTATCCTCTTGTATTATTTGCTAATTCAGTATGAACTGGGGTGCCACAGTCACTTCTTCACACTGACGTCAATGCTTAACTGAAACCACACTTCTTTCATATTAACCCAGTAGTCACTCAGAAGAATAAATACTCGACTTTCAGAAACCATTACCATTAAATCCTCCATTAAGTCCTACCATTACAGGAAAAAAAAGGAAGACAAGTGTGAACTTTCCTAAAAAGGGAGATGCACTACACGATAATAACCCCTATGATCACCCACACGGGTCCCTGTGCTTTAAGGGATAAAGCACTACAGATACTTCATCCTGCTGCCTCTTACACATCCCTCAGGACCACCACTAGTAACAGAGGAGTAACCAAGGGATAGCCGTTAAGAAGTATAGCTACAGCCCGACCCAAGCCTCGTGAAGGGCTTATTCTGCATCTAGCACTGGAGAAAAGCCTCGCTATTTCTGAGCAATACCCTACAAAATGTCACCCAAGAGGACAACACCCAAAATAGTTTAGATTGGTGGGTCATGAGTCCCAATGAGCCTGGGGAAACTCACATTCCACACTTGAACTCAAACTTACCCCCTTTTTTCCCCATTTCAGTTGCCAACAGCCATATAAATTGGCCTTTATATTTGGCCATTATATTGGCCACAAGATGAGTTTTCTGCATTGAAAACAATTTCACATATAGTTAACAATTTTAGTAAATAACATTTTCAGAAATATAGTTTATGGAAATACATATAATTAAACAAAACTTTTTCAATAGTTTCTTAGAGTCCCTTGACCCAAGTAAATTAGAAGAAAATGAATTACCCAACCTCACAATAGTAGTTAAACACTAAAACTTAAAATCCCAAGTGCCCTACCCTGACTGGCAGCCACGAGTGAAGACAAATTGCTGGGAAGCTCAGAAAATGGGGCCAATAAAATGCTGGGATTATTTATTCCCAAGGCCTCATTTTGATTTCCACTTATGTTAATACCACCCTGTCCATTTAGAGGTTGACATCAATATCATGCAAAAAGGATGTGGTCGTTCAAAAAACTTTCAACACCATTACTCTATAATTGTGGTGGGAGGGGAGTATAGATATACAACCTCCTCTGACTGAGTCCACCAAACTCAGGGCTAAAGAATTCCATCTTGCTTGATGCAGTGGCTCATGCCTGTAATCCTGACACTTTGGGAGGTCAAGGCAGGTGGATCACGAGGTCAGGAGTTCAAGACCAGCCTGGCCAACATAGTGAAACCCCGTCTCTACTAAGAATACAAAAACATAGCTGGGGGTGGTGGCAGGTGCCCGTAATTCCAGCTACTTGGGAGGCTGAGGCAGGAGAATCACTTGAACCCAGAGGCGGAGGTTGGAAAGAGCTGAGATCACGCCATTGAACTCCAGCCTGGGTGACAAGAGGGAAACTCTGTCTCCAAAAAAGAATTCCATCCTGCCTCTTGCCTCGTTAAAGAATTAAACAAAATTAGAAATCACAAATTTATATATGAAAAGGCCACTTGGTCCTTGGATATAATAGCTGAAAATACTTGATAATGAACTTTAATGTAAAGTTTTTACTTCATTATCCAACACTACACAACAAGTCACAAAGGCGTAACTGGGTGATACTGACCTTTTTGTATGGTACAAGCCAAGAAAGTAAAGAGAAGAAGGAGCTATAGAAAGAAATACTCAATTTTGCAAGCCTACCTTGAAGGACTGTCAAAAACAAAAACAGAAACAACTGATGTGTCACACAGAAACAAATCATCATAGCGTAAGGCATTTTTCATAACAGTTGGCCTTTTCTGGGAGGTTCACACGTATACTAGGCCCTCATTTATCTTTGCTGAAAGTCAGTCATATGGAAAACCCAAAACAATATAATGATGCCTAAAAAATGTTATGACTTAGGCTACATTCATTCAAATTCGTGAAGAAAAGAAGAAACTGAATTTTCTTCAAGTATTTTAAAATAAATAAAGTTTTATTATTTCTATACATTACGCACTGCAGGCTAACCAAAAGTAAGTGAGTAGACTTCTTTGGCTTGTTTAAGAGAATGTTAATTTGTGTTGATGTATGCACTGTATCAAACAACTACTACTAAAGTTTTTTAAAAATACTTATCCAGTGAATTGATTCCACTTAAATGTTACTTCATTCAGTATTCAATAAATACTTACTGTGGACAATACAGCCAGCCAATGTGATAAGCACACAATATATACATCAGTGAATAAAAAGCATAAACCTAAGGTACCAACTAAACATCAACATCACAATCAGTGTCACTCTATGGGGCACTGGACACTTTGTAAGTTTGACCTTTTAATCTAAAAACAATCTACTTGGCAAGGTTGGTACTTTATATCCCAACTTCACAGGTAACTAAAGAAAGTTAAGAGGGTTAAGTGTATTTCCCAAGGTCAGGAAAGATGGCAACTGATGGACGGAGTACGTGAACTCAGACAACCTGATGTCGAAGTCCGAGCTCTGAACCTGGGCAATCTACCATCCCTCATCTCAATCCCAGAATAACAGATCCTAAATTCTGAATTAGCCATGTTCAAATTATGTGGACCTTCCTGCCCACCCCCCGCAACCAAAAAAGGGCTCCAATGCAAGATTTACCTCCTTTTAAACGAATGCCCATTCCATGAATGTCCATACACTACACCTTCTGTGCTAAGTGGTAACAGCCAAGCTGGGATTAAAGAAATGCGGTAGATAATGCGTAAGTCTGATAATTAAGTCACTGTGTGTACACTTGAATGTGTGCACAAAAGGTATGGGTAATTAAGTCGCTATCTGATATCTCCCAGCATCATCTATGGTTCTAATAAGAAAAGAAGACATAATTACTCATCCTCAGTAAGTTTTTATTACAAAGGAGGAGAAATAGCTTCTTGTTACTTTTAATCCATTTTTAAGAAAATAAATTTGGTGGAGGGCGGGCAATCTCAATGGCAAGTGGAACCTAAGATGAAGTTAATTTCTCTGCAGCCCTTCTGCTGCTGTACTGTCGGGGAAGGCATGAGTAAAGGGTAGTGCGTGGCAAACAACTTATGAGTACAGACCAGGGATCAGAGAGAAATTCCAAGTGTTTTTCCTCCAGCTGCTCACATTTGACAATAAAACAACAAGAGGGATATGGTATTAAACGATAAATAACTTGGCCCCCACATTCACAGCAATAATGGAAATGTGCATTCTCCAAGGTAACTAGTAGTATGCATCCTTAGCTATTCCACATTCAGAACTAGTACTTAGAAAGTAGGCTGTTGGGGACACAAATGATACAGCAGCATTATCATCTATGCAGAGCCGTAACAATATGTCGAGCCCAGCTAACCATCACCTGAAACACTTTAACATCCCTAACTATCACCCCCAACTCTAAGGAATCTCTGTATCTGGCTTAACTTTAAGGACAATTTTCCAAGTTTTAATAAACAGTTAAGGAACCAAAATGAATCAATGTTATTAACCCAAAATAGTACTTATAGCTACATATACTACCTAGAAACTCATTTGGTATAAGTAACAGCTGAAACACCTATGTAACTTTAGGAAACCAAAAGCATGTTTTCCTCTACTGTATGAATGACGGCAATGCAAGAATCCACACTGAATTTCCATGGAGAATATTACAGGAGTGAGTTTGCTTACTTATCTGTGAATAAAGAAAGGTAGTAACTGCTACAAGGAACTACTTACTATACAAGGAACTCCTCAGTGTTATACTGAATGAAAATTACTGTCTCCATGACCTTGTTAGCATTCTCAGACTCCATGATTATTTCCAGATGGCAAATTATTTGTATTATACTTCTTAATGCCTGGGTTTCCATAAAAATATGATTTGTTTTTCATAAACACACAAAAGAAATCATTTCTTTTAGATCTAAAAGCGAATGCCCTTCTTGTCAATCCTATTCAGAATGTTCTCCAAAGAAGACTGACATCCAATAATGCCACAAGTTGTCTGTCACTTAGAATCTAACTAAGATCACTGAGGGAATGAACAATATTTTATACTTCTTCAGTCTCTCTTTAAGTGCTGAGTTCCATAAAGAACACAAAGAAGGTATTCAGTAAATGCCTGTGGAAGGCCCTGATTATAGCCCAAAACATTCCTATTTGCACTCTGTGATATAATGCTCCTCAATGATATTGACTCATTCAGAACAAAACCCTCAAAGTAACTAAGTCACATGGTGACCTCTAAAAGCTATGGGAGGGCAGCAGAAGGGTTGGAGATGTTAACCTAGGCTCTTTCCATTGCAATTCATGAAGATCCACTCAAGCTAGCCCAGATGAGAGCTCTCTACTCAGAGTGAACAGGATAATCTAAGAATCCTGTGGGAAGAACATCAGTGCAGTGGGACCCAGGAGAGTCAAGGAAGAGACGGCTGTGCACTCACTTCCCTTGGCAGTCTGCTGCCCTTCCCACAGCTTCCCTGTCCTCTGCTTTTCCGAGTTTCCTTCCCTAGCAAGTGAGCTTGCCTATGTCAGCCCTAACCTTGCTCTTGTCATTCAGGTAATTCTTTTTTTATTTTTAATTTCTACAGACATATTAGGGATAATTCTTGAATTATCCATTCACCTTTCCCCTCTACTAACTGCCTCAGTCTCTCAGTTTCTCAACTCTAAATTCTAAAAATGAAATTTGGCTCAATTAATCTTTTCATGCCAGGCCACAAGGATCACAGACTGTCATTCCGAATTACTAGACCTTCAAAAAGCTAAATAAAGACTTTGCCAGCTATTTTACTAATTAGTTCAGAAATCTACGGTGCGAAGCGACCTTTTTAATCAACAATACTTCTTTCTCCTGCTTCTAAGTATGCACTGTCCATAATTCTACCCTGCCTCTTCTGCTCGCCTGAGCTCCTGCTTTTGACTACTTGTTCCATAAATACTTTGGTCAGCGCATTCAAACAAAATCAGACATCTCCGTTTGTAAATAAGCCCAATCAAATGAATACTTCCTAAGAGAATGAAAGCTTCCTAACAGAATACATAATTCCTACTTTTAAAACCTCAGCTCAGTTAGGAACTTAACTGCTTGATACTATCATAGCCTCCACCTACCCTGTGGAAGCATGGGCTCGAAATACACCTACTAGTGTAGGATGGTGGTGTCCTTATGTGTTTTGATGGTTGAATATTAATAAAGCAGAAGCCATGGATCCTATCCCCATAGGCAAGATAACCACACAACCTATCATCCACACTCAGACATTTTTGAGAGTGAAAGGGGAGGCTGTTTAATAGTCTGGCAGGACAACAGACAGGGATCAGGACATAGAGGCAGCTGTGTTCTATACCACAGACTCGATTCTAAGGGAATGCAGCAGCAGAATTGAGAAGACGACCCAGGTCCCCACATAAAATACAAAGACCCTTCTCCTTATCTCACATAGAGCTATTTCATGAAATGTGACCTAAGGCCCTCGGTTCAATAAACTGCCATTATTCTAGTCTCAGTGACTGGCGGTACATGTCTCCTCCTCCCCACGCCTCACCTCATTAGCTTTTGTTGTCTTTAACATCGTAATCATACCTACTAATGTGTATCATAAAGGGCATTCACCCAGTTATTTTTACAGTGCCCAAACATACTTTATACACAAAATTTCACCGTGGCAAAGGGATTCTCATTTATAGTATAAACAATGAAACACGTCTCTCAGTTATAACCCCAAACCAACTTTTTATTTTGTGATTATTAAAAAGATAAAATACCTAATTACTCAACATTTCAAAGCTATTGGGTTTTTGTTTCTTTCATTGCTCCACTAGTCATGTTATTTGCTGTGAGCAAAATCAAATTCAATTTCTTCTTCTTTTTAAAATCTCACAGAGAAACAAAGCTTATTTCCTCCTGCTCATGTTTTTCCCTTATAGCTTCAGTAAACTGAAGGAGAAAAAAATCTTGATCATTCTCATCTATTTGATTATCTTTTAATAAGTACAGAGAAGTAAGAAAATAAGACAGTGGAAATAACTATATTTATTCCCAGAGCAAATATTTCATCATCTGTTGTTCTTACACAACTATGAGGATGTGCCGAATACAGAACCTCAAACAAAAACATGAGAAACAGCAGTGTGTGATTTAGAAAAAGGCATCTAAACATACTGCACCCTACTTCCCACATATTTTTGTAGATAGCTTTAATGTGTTGTATTAGACCAATACTGACAACAGAAGCTTCAGCTTTTATTGCTGTTAACACCCTGAGCAATTACCGTAACTCAGCAGGAACTTCTGCCCAGAACAGCAACTATCACATTGTAATCAGCATTTCATAAGAGATGCCTGTTCAAACATGAAGGCACCTGCTAATGTGCAAAAACTGTACAAACGGGGGCTCAAGATCTAATAGGTAAAATAAAAATATTTACAATTTTATTTCACAGCTATATATTTTTCATGGTGCACTGATGTTTGGTTTAGTAAAAATCACACACAAAGACAATGGGCAGGAAAAGGGCAGTAGCAGCAGCCACTACCAAAACAAAACTCTTCAGGAATAAGGCTGTACCCGTATTTCAGGTGTCAGTGCTGTATCTGTTAAAAAAAAAAACACACACTTTGGAAGGAAAGATACAATAAGTAGCAAAGACCTCTAAAAATGGTTTTTAAAAATTCATATAGACATAAAAATTGGATAGAAAGCATTTGATTTACAAGATTAAACTGCGAGGCCACCTTGCAATGCAACCAGAAAAGGTAAAAGCCGCCTATCAAGAATAGACCCATCTTAGAAGTAAATAGCACATTTGACTTCATCTTAAAACAGTAAGCATGCAATAACTTAAGCAATAACTTTTTAACAAAGAAAAATAATGTGACTTTTTTTTTTTTTACTGAATATACTAATTTGGTACTTGGGCCATTAAAAATGATAAAAAACAAAGGAGATGCAGAGAAAGATCTTTTCAAACTACATTTCTTTAGACTGAAATATCACATACAACATATGTCAGAAAACAAACATTGTCGAATTACAAAGCGTGTTGGAAATAACAGCATTCACAGATAGTGATACACATCTCTACAAAGCTAAGGAATTAGGAATTCTCTACCCTTAAGAGTACAGACAGTGGTTCACAATCTTCAAAGTACTAGGGTCCCTTGTAAGATCAAAATGTTTCAAAAGATTCCCAAATGATACTACTTCAGTAGTATTTCAAATACCAATTGTTTGAGGAAAATAACAAACAAACGGTGGTTCCTGCCAGGCATGGCAGCTCACATTTGTAATCCCAGCGCTTTGGGAGGCCAAAGCAGGCAAATCACTTGAGGTCAGAAGTTGGAGACGAGCCTGGCCAACATGGTGAAACCCTGTTCTCTGCTAGAAATACAAACCCTGTTCTCTGCTAAAAAATACAAATATAAAAATAACAGCCGGTTGTACTGGCACGCACCTGTAATCCCAGCTACTCGGGAGGCTGAGGCAGGAGAATCATTTGTTTCCGGGAGGCAGAGGCTGCGGTGAGCCAAGACTGCACCACTGCACTCCAGCCTGGGTGACAGAGCAAGACTCTGTCTCAAACAACAACAACAACAAATAGTGGTTCTTAACTGTGTATTGCTTTTAAATAAGTGAAATTTTTAAAAATCATAAAAGCATACTGAAAACAGGCTGAAAAATCGTTGTCCAGACGTGTGAGATCAATTCATTTATATAAAGCTTAGCATGTTTATTTGCAGACCTCTGCCAAATCTCTGCAGACATCCAGCGATCCAAAGCCTAAAGTGTGAGAACCACTGGCCCTAAAAAAGCGATTTCATAATGAGGAACATCAACACTTATATATTCAGGAAGAATTTTTAATGAGAAAGTACAGCAGCTATGTCCTCGCTTCTGCAACACATGCACTAAAACTGGAAAGAAAGTATAACAGCTTTACCACGCCCAAGCCAGACTTCTTTCAACCGCTACCCCGGGAAACCCCCACAACAATTTCAACATATGCTCTACACCTGCCGAAATATTGAAGGAAGTGACAGATTTCCACTGGAAACTATTCTCTGACCCGTTTATATTATTTCCCCTACTCATCAATTTACTGAATTTACTTTACTTTAGGCTCTTAACAATGGCTGAGAAGAAACAACCTACTTCAGAAATTCAAGGGACTACCCGAAATTGTCAAAACAGTTACTAAAGGGATAAAAACTTCAGAAATATTGTTTACAATATAAGCATTATGAGAGTAAGTGTTACAAAGCTGAAAAGATGGAACTAGTAACCCTCATTTCAGTGCTACTGCCACGAGGCAGTTAGCACTCAAAAGGTGAACTGGTAACCACGTCAACAGCGATGGAGTAACAATAAGAGATAGCCAATGGAACTGGAAAAAGAGAGAATACAGAGCAGAGCGAACAGCACATTAAAAATGCTTACCAGTTTGAAGTCTTGAATGCTACAGATGAAATACAGTGTGTTTGGCCTCCAACTCTCGATATACACACAGTCTTTAAAAGAAAAAGAAATTTTAACACAATGGAATTTACCTTTAAGGAACAAAGACAGGGCCCATAAAGCCACTGCATAAATGACAAAGCATATATCTTTTATTGTAAATTTTTTTCCAAAAGATGATATTAAATTGCAAACATCTTTAGGCTAAAGGAAAACAGCCCTTTGGTTCTTTCTGATTATTTTTCTAATAATTTAAAGAATCTGATGAAGCCTAAATTATTTTCTTCAGAGTCCCTGAAGAAGGGGAGGATTCCAAGGGATTATCTATATTCAGATGAAGACATTTAGATAAAAGAAACCGCTTGCTCAAGATCACACATCAAGATGAAATCTTGAGTATCTTATTCAGATAGATGCTCACATGTCTTCAAAAAAGAGAAACGTGCTACTATATTTGTAATAAATATTTTGTGAGGAAATAAATTAAATACGCAAAGATGACTAGCTTGAACATGCTACTACAATGACCTTTTCAGCTAATCAAAAAGAGAAAGAAAACTAATCTCTTATAGACAATTTGCCATTAAATTGTACTCTAAACACATTTTATTTTCTAATTGTAAACAAAACCAATGCCACTAATCAGAGATGGAATAAAGTAAACCAAACTGCATTTTCTTCAGGGAAGAAGGGTGCTTTCTTAAATTACATTTGACATGGCAGTGGTTGGAAAATAATTTTTGATTCTCTCAATGACTGGAGTGTAAAGCATTGCTTTTTTTTTTTTTTTTTGGCTGGTCTCCAACTCCTGGGCTCAAGCAATCCTCCCACCTCAGCCACCCAAAGTGTCAGGATTACAGGCATGAGCCACCATGCTTGGCCAAGGTTGCTTTTTAAAATGCCATGTTAAGACACTTAAATAAAAAGCAATGATTTTAAGGAAAGCAGTGGCTATAGAGAGAGTTAACCTCCTCCTACCCCCATATCACAACCTGAGATCATCATAAAGCTTAGGTCAGGAAAGTCTATGTATTATTTATTGAAAAGTAAAGGCACAGTCAATCAAATCTAGTAAGAGTGACCATAATGCCTCATTCATTCATTCATTTTGCATAGACAGGGCCTCACTATGTTGCCCAGGCTAGTCTCAAACTCTTGGGCTGAAGCTATCCCCCTGCCTCGGCCTCCCAAAGTGCTGATCTACCTAATGCTAAATGACGAGTTAATGGGTGCAGCATACCAACATGGCACATGGATACATATGTAACAAACCTGCACATTGTGCACATGTACCCTAAAACTTAAAGTATAATAATAAAAAAAAAGAGTTAACATATTTTGTTCCTTTCCCATGATTTAGATGTGCATACGCCCTAAACAAG
This sequence comes from Homo sapiens, assembly GCF_000001405.40. Classification (NCBI taxonomy): domain Eukaryota; kingdom Metazoa; phylum Chordata; class Mammalia; order Primates; family Hominidae; genus Homo; species Homo sapiens. The sequence continues at coordinate 22,281,469 of NC_000015.10, read as the reverse complement.
CAATCTGTGGTAACTCTGATTCTTCAGTCACTAAGAAATTCTTACTGCCCAATAGCTGAGTCTAAATCAAAGATAAATACAGACAGTACTGTAACCTACACACATCATTTAATCCTCACAGCAGATTTTTAACTGCTCTAAAACCTCCACTCTGATCAATTTATATCACACGAATACCTTCTCAGTTAATCTTCAACCAAGAAATTGTAGTTGTGAATGCAAATTTGTCTGTATTAAGTTCTAGCACTGACTTTTTTGTGTGTGGGGGGGAGAGGGGTGGAGATAGGGTTTTGCTCTGCTGCACAGGCTGGAGTGCTATAATGTGAATGGGGCTTACTGCAGCCTTGCCCTCCTGAGCTCAAGAGATTCTTCTACCTCAGCCTCCTGAGTAGCCGGGACTACAGTCTCATCACACTCCCAGCTAATTTTTTACTGTTTTGTAGAGATACGGTCTCACTATGTTGCCCAGGCAGGTCTCCACATTGCTCAAGCAATCCTCCCGCCACCTCAGCCTCTCAAAGTGCTGGGATTACAGTCATGAGCCACTGCGCTCAGCCCCACTGACATCTTTTGAAATTTAAAAAACTCCTGTGTGGGAGAATGAAAATCTGGAACTTGATGTGAAGTTCAGAACAGTAACAGCATTCCTCAGTAAAATGATTGTTCCAGATTATGGACATAACACAGTAAAGCATTTTAATCTCTTTCTCAGAAAAACATAAAAATGGGCAGCTTTAATCTGCTAATTACATCTCATATGAAATTCATGTCACTCTTCAACAGTAAAAGTAACTCAAACAAAATGATTTCACCTAGGTTTTACTGGCTTCTGTAAGAAAATATCTTGTTTTTTTTTTTTTTTTTTCTTTTGAGACAGGGTCTTGCTCTGTCGCCCAGGCTAGAATGCAGTGGTGCAATCATGGCTCACTACAGCCTCGACCTCCCAGACTCAAGTGATGCTCCTGCCTCAGCCTCCTGAGTAGCTAGGACTACAGGTGTATGCCACCAGGCCCAGCTAATTTGTAAAAATTTTTTGTAGAGATGAGGTCTCACCATGTTACCCAGGCTGGTCTTGAACTCCTGGGCTCAAGCAATCCTTCTGTCTCCGCCTCCCAAAGTGCTGGGATTACACTGTGCCCAGCCTAAAAAAGGTGTCTTAATACACACAATACATCAAATGAAAAGGAAAGGCTTTGCTAGTGTTCAACAGGTTTTGACTCACTTGTTTCCCTGATCTCATCTAAAAGTTGAGTCTGTCTTTTTTTGAGCAATGCTGTAAGCCACAATATACTGGCATGACCATAATACATTTTCCGGAAAACCAAGCAGGTTAGATGACTTCTTCTATTATCGTTGATTAGAGAGCCTGAAGCTCAAATTTTTGGAAAAGGAAGTTAGCAGGAGCAATAAATCTCTGATCTTCAGGCCTTTTTTTTTTTCTTTTTTGAGACAGAGACTCGCTCTGTCGCCCAGGCTGGAGCGCAGTGGCGCGATTTCGGCTCACTGCAACCTCCAACTCCTGGGTTCAAGCAATTCTCCTGTCTCAGCCTCCCAAGTAGCTGGGATTAGAGGTGCACACCACCGAGCCCAGCTAATTTTTGTATTTTTAGTAGAGACAGGGTTTCATCATGTTGGTCAGGCTGGTCTCGAACTCCTGACCTCAGGTCATCCACCCACCTCAGCCTCCCAAAGTGCTAGAATTGCAGGTGTGAGCTACCATGCCTGGCCTAAAGGCCATTTTTAAAAAGTACCTCTCTAGAGTCTGGTCGATCCTGTCCCAAGGTAAAATTTCCTGTTTCCAAGAATCTTAAGGTTTACTTGTCTCCACCAAGCAGTCAATTCTGCAGGGTCACCACAGTCTCATTTATGATTGAAGATTAAAAACCAAGCATGAATTCAAAAGACAAAAAAATACTAAGCAGATGGTCAAGTTAGAGAACAAGCAGCATAGGAAAATAAGAAAAGAACTCATGAATGCATAAACCAGGACACAAGACCAAATTAAGGCAGACACAAGCAAGAAGTGGGTAAACCTAACTGACCAAAAGTGGGTCACATGTTTACCAAATTAAGTTTCCTACTCTTCTAGATTCCAAGCCTTCCTTAAAGTGTACAAAGTGTATTTATTTCACCTTAATGCTAAGATCATTCCCCCATTGTAAACACTGGCAAGACCCAAATGTAAGGCTCCTTACCTCCTGGTCTGTAGACAACATCATCTTCAGTGATGTAGGATGTTATCTCGCCGGTATCTGTCCTTTCATAACGAGACGTTTTCTTCGGTGGTTTCTTCTTGTTCTTCTTCGTGGACTCCTCTGTGGTGGCACTATTGTTGTCATTGTCCTCGTCTTCACTGTGATCACTCTCAGCATAATTTTTGGCTCCTCCTTCCAAGGTACAGCTCCGGCGTGGCCTTGAATTCTCACTCTCTCTTGCTTTGTCTCTTTTCTCTCTCTCTCAGTCCCAGTCTCAGTCCCGGTCCTTCTCTTTGTCTTTGTCTGCTGTCATGATTCGCCACATGCCTTCTTCTGTCCTCTCACGGCTAGGCCTCCGTGAAAGGTAGACAGTAAGCCTGGGCTTCAGTCTTCTGAATTTCTCACTCAATTCCAGGGAAAATCCAACCACTCCAACAACCCCAATGTTTCAAAAATGCTAGGAGAGAAAAAAGAATGGTTTTAATGCTTTTTCATATTTGTTTCCTAAAATAATGTTTTGTTAAATGAATCTCTTACTTGTTCACGCTTTACACCTAAAAACTTCACACAAGCCACAGGAGAAAAATTAAGTGTTAAAATTTTAAATATACAGTTTTTGGTCTCAGCAAATGGTCTGGGGTTTTCTACGACACCAATAATAAAAACTGTCTGAATGCCTAAGAGTAAACTACACTTCCTCTACCTTACATGTTTTCTCCTTTTTAAAGAAAAAGCAAAGCAATACCCTGGTTGACAACATATATTGGATATTATTATACAAAAGGAGCTTCATAACCCATAATATTAATTTAAAGAGGAAAGAATCTATAGTAAAAATTATTTCCAGGCCAGGCACTGTGGTTCATGCCTTGTAATCCCAGCATTTTGAGAGGCCAAGCCAGAAGGACCACTTGAAGCCAGGAGTTCAAGACCAACCTTGGCAACAAAGCGAGATCCCATCTCCAACATAAAATAAAATATTTCTACCTGAAAAAATAGTAATAGTTTGCAGCACTGTCAAAAATGTCTCAGGATAGGCCAGGCACGGTGGCTCACGCCTGTAATCCCAGCGCTTTGGGAGGCCGAGGCAGGTGGATCATGAGGTCAGGAGATCGAGATCATCCTGGCTAACATGGAGAAATCCTGTCTCTACTAAAAAATACAACAAAAATTAGCTGGGTGTGGTGGTGTGCGCCTGTAGTCCCAGCTACTCAGGAGGCTGAGGCAGGAGAATGGCGTGAACCCAGGAGATGGAGCTTGTAGTGAGCTGAGATCGCACCATTGCACTTCAGCCTGGGCGACAGAGCGAGAGACTCTTGTCTCAAAAAAAAAAAAAGAAAAAAAGAAAAAAAAGGCTCAGGATATTGCATAGAGCACTATATTCTAAAGATATTTTCTGGCTACTTCTACAAACTCCCAGAACTTCCTTCAAGAATAAAAATAATATTTAACTCAAACGAAAGTGAGAGATTCAGAGCAAGATTTTTCCACCTTCAGTTACATTTTACACATCTTTTCATCCTACCATTTTCAGTTATGTTCCAAGGAAAATGATCTCTCTAAAGATGTATTACTGGCCAGGCATGGTGGCTCACACCTGTAATCACAGCACTTTGGGAGGCCAAGGCGGGGGGATCACGTGAGGTCAGAAGTTCGAGACCAGCCTGGCCAACGTGGTGAAACCCTGTCTCCACTAAACACAAAAAGTAGCTGGGCACGGTGGCACACGCCTATAGTCCTGGCTACTTGGGGAGGCTGAGGCAGGAGAATCGCTTGAACCTAGGAGGCAGAGGTTGCAGTGAGCCGAGATCACACCACTGCACTCCAGTCTGGGCGAAAGACTCCGTCTCAAAAAAGAAAAGAAAATGTATTATCTCTGCCTTAACAAAACCTAACAGCTTCCAGAAACAACCTTCCATCTTTCGGGAATATTAAGTGGTTTTTACAGTCTTCCAAATTTCTACTATAAATGGTATCCCTAATAAAGTCCTCCCCAAAAAGAAACCCAACAAGAAAAGTCTGAGGTTTTTAAGCATCTGCAATGGGAAAAGTGAATCCCAAACTCCAACCCAACACAGTTCTTACAAATATTTTATAGCAGGAAAGAATTTTGTCTTTCTAAGTCAGTTTTGGAATAGACCTAACAATAAATTTATAAATAAATAATTCATCTTTTGTTTTTCTTATGATCTTCCCCAATACCCTATCTCACTTATTCCACAAATCTTTACTAAATACTATGTGCCAGATGTTAGAACTAAAACCACAATGGAGGAGAAAACTCATGGTCCTTGTTCTCAACGCTCAAATGCAACAAAAGGAGGCAACTGATCAATCTAAGAAGCTTCTGTTTCTCATGCAACTAGGGCGAGAAAGGAAACAGTGCATATAAACAAACAAAAGATTGGTCCTCTTTATTTAACAACCACAAACAAATCGGTTTGCAGTTATATGCTTCAGATGCAGAGAAAATTCTCTTTGGTCAGCCAGGCATGGTGGCTCATACCTGTAATCCCAGCACTTTGGGAGGCCGAGGTGGGCGGATCAAGAGGTCAGGAGATCGAGACCATCCTGGCTAACACGGTGAAACCCCATCTTTACCAAAAATACAAAATATTATCTGGGCGTGGTGGTGGGCGCCTGTAGTCCCAGCTACTCGGGAGGCTGAGTTAGGAGAACCACTTGAACCCAGGCGGCAGAGGTTGCAGTGAGCTGAGATCACGCCACTGCACTCCAGCCTGGGCAACGAGACTCCATCTCAAAAAAAAAAAGAAAGAAAAAAGAAAATTCTCTTTGGTCATGCTAAAACCGTAACAATTACCATATATTCTCTGCAGCGCTGTTAGGTCAAACCTCATGCCAGAAAAGACCTCCTCATAAGCATCTCAAATATCCTTAGACATTCAGCAAAATAGAAAGTATTTAGTCTTTGGGAGATAGGTGATGAAGGAGCAATCATGCATCATAAGCTACATTAGAAAAAGGAACGCATGTAGCACAAAACTAGATTACTTCCTTCTATGTAAGAAACATGCTTTCAAATAGGATTTCCATTTTCTAAACATATTTCAAGAAAAGGAAAAATTATCACTGCCTACAAAAGTTTTGCCCAGATCAACCGTCTGCTAAACAGATATTCATAAACTCCAAAGTCCTGGTAGGCTACTAGTGCTAGCAACTGAAAATACAGAGACGTACTACTTCCTCGACCAGTCTTAAGTTTAGAGCATGAACGAGCCAATCATGAAAGAAAGAAAATTATCAGGCCAGGGGCGGTGGCTCATGCCTGTCATCCCAGCACTTTGGGAGGCTGAAGCGGGCGGATCACCTAAGGTCAGGAGTTCGAAGCCATCCTGGCCACCATGGTGAAATCCTGTCTCTACTAAAAATACAAAAATTAGCTGGGTGCGGTGGTGGGCGCCTGTAATCCCAGCTACTCGGGAGGCTGAGGCAGGAGAATCGTCTGAACCCAGGAAGCGGAGGTTGCAATGAGCCGAGATTGTGCCATTGCACTCCAGCCTGGGAGACAGAGCGAGACTCTGTCTCAAAATAAAAAACAAACAAAAAATGATCAGCTAACACCATTGTTAAAATGTTCCTCTTTGACCCTGAAAACTCATCAGTGTCTACTGGGAGTCCAAAAAGAATAAAAAGCTTGGGCTGAAAACCTCTCCACTGCAACTGCAGTTTCGGACAGAAACACTTCTGATAACTTTAAGATGGAGCACCCAACACAAGAATGGATGGATGGATGGATGGATGGATGTGTGGATGAAACGATGGAAGCAGGGATGGATGACGGATGAGTGGGTGCATGAATGGAAGGATGGATAAATGGATGGACGGGTGGAGTGGGTGGATAGGTAGAATGGATGGGTAGATGGATAGAATTGGTGGGTGGGTGGATAGTGTGGGTGGGGGGATGAATAGTGTGGGTGGGGGGTGGGTGAATAGGGTGGGTGGGTGGGTGGGTGGATGGATAGTGTGGGTGGGTGTGTGGATGGGTGGATAGATAGGGTGGGTGGGTGGATAGATAGGGTGGGTGGGTGGATAGATAGGGTGGGCAGGTGGGTGGATAGATTGGGTGGGTGGGTGGGTGGATGGATGAATAGGATAGGTGAGTGGGTGGGTGGGTGGATAGACAGGGTGGGTGGGTGGATGAATAGGATAGGTGGGTGGGTGGATGGGTAGGTGGGTGGATAGGATGGGTGTGGGAGTGGTGGATGGTGGATAGACAGGTGGGTGGATAGGATAGTGGATGATGGGTGGGTGGATAGGATGGGGGATGGTGGGTGGGTGGATAGGATGGGTATGGGGGTGTGTGGATAGGATGGGTGTGGGGGTGGTGCATGGATGGATACATGGATGATTCAGAGATCAAATTAAATTGTCCTCAGCAACAACATTAAAAAACAAAAAATAGAAGAACAAGAAACTGTTCCCTTCTCTGAGGAGGCAGCCGTAGCAGAACTAACTGATTAAAAACCACCTCCTGAATTTTATGAGCATCAGAAAAGTCCAACTCCAAATTGGGCCATTCTGAGACAATTAAGTCAAAATATGTGAATTCATTTACACAAATATGGGAAGAAAAGGAGCTCCTGGTGAAATGAGAGGAGAGGTTTGCAGGGCCCTGAGGAAGAGGCAGGGGATGCCACCCAAGGGTCAGGGACCTGGAGACGCTGCAGGCCCTGTGGAGGGAGGGGCAGCTGGAGTCAACCAGAGAGGACACCAAGGGGGCAGTGGGCACAAGGAGTGAGAGAAGAGGGAGGTGAGGCAAGAGTCCCCCCACTCTTAGGGGTTGGGGGAAAAAAGGTAAATATGTGAGTATATATAAAAGACAATATTTTCCTCGTAATTTTTTTAAAGGTACATTCATACTGAAGCAAACAACAATACTATATATATTGTGATGTCTATAGCATAGATGTAATATGTACACTTGCCACAGCAAGGACCGGGAAGGCACCTGGTTGCAAGACAGTGACCAGCTTCTTACACTGCACAAGGCGGGGTACAGTATTAACTCTAAGCAGACTGTGGAAAGTTCAGTATCTACAGTGTCATCTCCAGACCAGCCACTAAAATCATGCAACAAAGGAAGCCAACAGATAAAAAATGGAATTCCATGAATCTGCTTAAATGAAGTTTTAGAAATGGCAAAACTAATCAATGGTGGAAAAGAAACAGAACAGAGGGAGAAAGAGTTTTTAAGGCCTGGGGGTTGGGGGTGGGAGAAGGTGGGAACTGACTGGAAAATGGTGGGAGGGAATTCTCTGGGCAATGGTCATACCGCACAAAACCCCTTCAAGGCTTATTGCTTCTGTCAAAACTGAAGTGGTGGCCGGGCATAGTGGCTCACGCCTGTAATCCCAGCACTTTGCGAGGCTGAGGAGGGCAGATCACAAGGTCAGGAGTTTGAGACCAGCCTGACCAACACGGTGAAACCTTGTCTCTAATAAAAATACAAAGATTAGCAGGGCATGGTGGTGCGTGCCTCTAATCCCAGCTACTCAGGAGGCTGACGCAGGAGAATTGCTTGAACCTGGGAGGCAGAGGTTGCAGTGAGCCAAGATCGCTGCATTGCACTCTAGCCTGACAGAGCGAGACTCCATCTCAAAAAAAAAAAAAAACTAAACCAAAAAAAACTGAACTGGTGAAAACACTCAGATGACACACTTAAAATATGTGCATTTCACTAAATGTAGGTTTTACCCTTAAATGAAAAGAAAAAAAGGAACCCCAACAAAATATTAGACTGCGGTACTGAGGACTATCAGTTACACACTCTGTGCTGAATGAATAAAAACGAGCCGCTGGGGCGAAGGCAGGGAGAGGAGCTTTGTCACCAAGAACATGGATCCCGCCCAGGGCCGGCCGCGCACTTGGGGCAGCCCCGGGCATCAGCAGAGCTGGAAGAAGCCGGGGATGAGGTCACACTCCCTACTTCTACCAGCCGCAGAGTCTGGGGCTCTCTTCCTCGTCTCATTTCATATTCCTCAGGTTCTTCCTCTCACTTTAAATGATGAAGTCAACACATAAACAATTTTAACTTCACATAATAAAAATAGCCACTCACTGATGTCATCTTTGTCAAATTATTTATACTTAACCTCTCTGTGTCTGTTTTCTTATTGCTAAAATGGGGACAAAAATAGAACCTAACTCATGGAGCTGTTATGAGGATTAAATGAAATACATGCGACACCCTCAGAGCAGCCTCCTGCACCTGGGGAACACCGACACACCCCCACCGCATCCCCCTGCAGCCTGCTGCCCCTCACCACACACACCTGGGGAACACTCACATGCCTCCACCACATGGCTCCCCTGAGTCTGCTGCCCCTCACCGCACACACCTGAAGAACACTGACACGCCCCCACCGCATCCCCCTGAGCCTGCTGCCCCTCACCGCATCACACCTGGGGAACACCGACATGCCCCCACCGCATCCCCCTGAGCCTGCTGCCCCTCACCGCACACACCTGCAGAACACTGACACGCCCCCACCGCATCCCCCTGAGCCTGCTGCCCCTCACCGCATCACACCTGGGTAACACCGACATGCCCCCACCGCATCCCCCTGAGCCTGCTGCCCCTCACCGCATCACACCTGGGGAACAATGACACGCCTCCATCGCATCCCCCTGAGCCTGCTGCCCCTCACCCCATCACACCTAGGTAACACCGACACGCCCCCACCGCATCCCCCTGAGACTGCTGCCCCTCACCACATCACACCTGGGTAACACCGACATGCCTCCACCGCATCCCCGAGCCTGCTGCCCCTCATCGCATCACACCTGGGGAACAATGACACGCCTCCACCGCATTGCTCCCAAGTCTGCTGCCGATCACTGCAGGTGCCTAAAACACTGACACGCCCCCAGGCATCACTCCTCTCTGTAGCCTGCTGCTCCTCACCTCATATCTTTATTAGCAATTGTAAAAGGAAAAATAACATTGATAAATTAACTTCCTCAATACAATATTAATGGTATGCTGGTTTAAAAGCCTTCCACCTATTTAAAAAACAACCCACACATATAAGTGCTTTGAGAAATGACACACTGCACGACGTGTGGCACAATGCAATGTGGAAAGTTCAGAATCTACACTGTCATCCCTAGACCAGCCACTAAAATCACGCAGCCAACAGGAATTCCATGATTCTGCTTAAATGAAGTTTTAGAATAGGCGAAACTGATCAGTGGTGGAAAAGAAACAGAATCGAGGAAAAGAATAGAAAAAAGGCCCGGGAGTCGGGGTGCAGTGAAGGCAGGAACCGACTGGAAAATAGCCTGAGTTCTCACATATGAAAGATACTCTACCAGGAACCTGGAGTCAGGAGAATCTCCCAGAGGTGGCGTGCAAGTTCTGTGAGTATCTATTTGTGTCCGGGTGGAGTTTACACACCACACAGTCCTTCCCATACAACCTAAATACTCCGTGCTTTCAAAGTATCTCATTAATTTTACTAATTTTTTTTTTTTTTTTGAGACGGAGTCTTGCTGTTGCCCAGGTTGGAGTGCAGTGGCGCCATCTTGGCTCACTGCAACCTCTGCCTCCCGGGTTCAAACGATTCTCCTGCCTCAGCCTCCTGAGTAGCTGGGATTACAGGCGCCCGCCACCACGCGCGGCTAATTTTTGTATTTTTAGTAGAGATGGGGTTTCACCATATTGGTCAGGCTGGACTCAAATTCCTGACTTTGTGATCTGCCTGCCTCGGCCTCCCAAAGTGCTGGGATTACAGGTGTGAGCCATAGCGCCTGGCCAATTTTACTAATTTTACTAATAACTAGGTTGTTAGTATTATTCTCAGGCTTCTAAATTTTATTAAAATGCCCAAAACAGAGTAGGGGTGAGGGTTGTTCCTCTTCCCCATACACTAAATCTCTTCCTATTTCAAACAGTTTAATCTTTTTTCAAGTCTAGACTATAATCCTTCTAGCACTAGTTCCTATATATACATGTTTTAATCAGAGTCAGTAAGAAACCTAAGGATAGGCTGGGCGTGGTGCCTCACACCTGGAATCCCAGCACTGTGGGAGGCCGAGGCGAGCAGATCACCTGAGGTCAGGAGTTCAAGACCACCCTGACCAACATGGTGAAACCCTGTCTCTACTAAAAATACAAAAATTAGCCGGGTGTGGTGGCAGGTGCCTGTAATCCCAGCTACTCAGGAGGCTGAGGCAGGAGAGTCGCTTGAACCCGGGAGACAGAGGTTGCAGTGAGCTGAGATTGCACCATTGCACTCTAGCCTGGGTGACAATGCGAGACTCCGTCTCAAAAAAAAAAAAAAAAACCTAAGGATATAATTTCTTTCTGGTAATTCTATTGATGCTTTTATGCAAATGTCCCAAATAATTAAACAAATGATTCCATAATGCTCCCTTCTTAAGAGTTAATCTAATGTCACTGTTGAAAGTATAAAAGAAATACAAATGAAACCTTAATTAGAATGAGTAACACTTTTTCAATTTATTGACACTATGTAGCAAACTAAAACAGACATTACGTAGCAAACTAAAACATCGAGGCTTACCATGATTTAAAGTTTTAAAAGCATTAAATAAATATAATCCAGACAAACTTACATGCAGAACTAAAAATGTTACTCCATGGAAATCAACTCATCCACACACATGCCTCCACAGGAGACGAGGCCACCAAAGCATCATGATGCCACGCAGCTTCTTCCTAGCTCTCAGCTAACGCATTCACAACCTTGTATGCATGCAACCCAGGTAACCTAAAGCCCAACTCTCATGTCAGAGAGTTTTTCCCAATGAAAGCTTTTGTAGGCCAGTTTTTTCTTCTTCTTTTTCTTTTTTTTAAAAATAGAGATGGGGTTTTGCCCTGTTGCCAGGCTGGTCTTGAACTCCTGGCCTCAAGTGATCCACCTGCCTTGGCCTCCCAAAGTGCTGGGGTTACAGGTGTGAGCCAGTGCACACCTTGCCTTGCATGCCAGCTTTTGAAAAATATAAAGTTAAAAATAAGAAAGTAGGGCCAGGCACGGTGGCTCACGCCTGTAATCCCAGCGCTTTGGGAGGCTGAGGCAGGCGGATCACAAGGTCAGGAGATCGAGACCATCCTGGCTAATACAGTGAAACCTTGTCTCTACTAAAAATACAAAAAATTAGCCTGCCGTGGTGGCAGGCACATGTAGTCCCAGCTACTCGGGAGGCTGAGGCAGGAGAATGGCGTGAACCTGGGAGGCGGAGCTTGCAGTGAGCCGAGATCGCGCCACTGCACTCCAGCCTGGGCGACAGAGCGAGACAGTGTCTCAAAAAAATAAATAAATAAAAATAAGAAAGTAGAATACAAATGTTAAAATTCAAGTTAAACTTCACCAGAATCTACAGCTACATAATATATGAGAGGTAGTCATTGGATAAAAGCAAAAATTAAAAAGATAAAAAGTATGAGTTGGTAACAGGAGTTACTACTGTGGCCATTGAAAAGAAAAACCAAAAGGGAAAAAAGCACTTGTATTATGGCGGCTTTTCATCCACCCAACACCTCCTGCCCCTAGGTTTAACAGATGCTCTACAGGTGAGCCCCTAGTAGGTGGTAGGAACTGCTAGGCTCTAGTGATTTAAAAAGTCAGTCTCTGCCAAAGTCAAAGTCTTGGGCAGAAATAGAACACAGCACATAAGGTCTAGGATAAGGATGCAACAACAAAATGACTGGTATCTACGAACCAATAATGGGGATGGGGGTATCACAGGTAACCAGTGTCCAGTCTGAGAAAACAGCCTCTCCAAGGACACAGGAGAGAGAAAACACAGTGAGTAGGAGGAACTGCGCCCACAGACAGAGGTGTGTACGGACAGGCAGGGGGCAGATCACAAAGGCCATGGCACATCATGCTAAGACCCGTAAGCCAGAAATGAGGCTCCTGCATGCATTTGACCAGGACCATTCCAGTGACACAAGGGAACTGATGTTAGAGACTAAGAGGGGGCCAGTGAGACCAGAGGGGGTTATGGAAGCAGACCCAGGCCAGGGAGACCAAAAAGGGTTACAGTGGGCAGACCCAGGCCAGGAGACTAGAATGTTAATGAGGCTAGACCTAGGTCATGATCAGAGTTGGGCACATTAGTGTTATTTCTAAAAAGAGTTAAGGTACCAATGCTTCTAAACTATTTAATCAGAAAATAAAATGGAGCAGCTACGAAGTTGTTTCTTGTAGACTTTACACAATGACATCAACTGACTTGCATTCTAACACGGATTTCTGATCAGAAGCAAAGTGGAGTTAGGCTAGGCTGGGGCCATGCTGGTTTCCTGAAGACTATTCTAATCTATGTCCTGCTTCCCTGGCATACTGCCTCAAATCTAAGCCTACGTCCAGAGAAGTGTGCCATGTATGTGACCACCATGGCAAGTGTGGTAGGGAGAGAAACGGGGGAGAAAGGGGAAGTGGGAGGGGAAAGGAAGGAGAGGAAGAAAGGAAAGTACAGGGGGAAAGAAAGGGAAACCCTGAGGGAACACTGAACCGGGGCTGTAACGGTGTCACTGGAGACAAATCTAAAGATATTTAGGACTTGGTCATAAACCAGCTGGAGGGGATAAAAAAGGGCATCTCTATGACAGGCCTCGGCCTCTGGCTGGAGGGGATTAGAAGGGAAGGACAGAGCAGGTCAGGGTTAGTGTCTTGGTCTGTTTTGTGTTCCTGTAACAGAATACCACAGAGCAGGTAATTTATAAAGAAAAGAAATGTATTTCTTACAGTTCTGGAGGCTGCAAAGTCCAACAGTAAGAGCCTGCATCTGCTGAGGGCCTTCCTGCTGGGACATCCCATGGTGGAAGGCAGAAGGGGAAAGGGCGAGAGAGCCAGAGAGCAAGCCAGCAAGAGGAGCCCCACACCGGCCTTCACAAAAACCACTCTCAGGTGACAAGGATATTACCTCATTGTAATGGCAGTGGCAGAGCCCTCGTGACCTACCCACATCCCAACACTGCTGCACTGGGGATTAAGTTTCTAAGATGCAAACTTTGGGGGAAACATGGGAACCATGGCACGTTGGAAGACAGAAACCCGCCTTTGCCACACTGAGCTACTGGGAACCTTCAGGGGCAGCTGGAGGTCTGGTTGAGCCTTTAGGTTTTTTGGACTCATCAGTGAGACTGGCAAAACCACAGCTAAAAAGGTCACGAATTATAAAGCAAAAAGAAAGAAGAAAAAGGAGAGAAGTCTGAGGAATAATATCATCAAAAGTGCAGGAAAGCAGAGGAGAAACTGAAAACAAATGTCCAGAGAAGAGGAAAACCAGCAGTGCCAGAACTGGCGGAGGCAGCGAGATCCCAGCCGGCCCGGCACACCCAGGCTGCAGAAGCCACCATCCGGAGCAGGCGCCTCGCAGCCATATTTATTCCAAACAAACCCCCCCCAAAAAAACCCTTCCTGGGGATTCCTCTGTGTAGGAAACCCACAAGAACAAATGAGAGGTAAGAAACAAAACCAAGAGTATCCAACGAACCTGGCCAACATGAGGTCATCTGGATGGAGACATCCATGAAGCAGAACGCAGGGTCCAGAAGTGAACCCAAATAGATGTGGGAGTAAACGAGAGACAGCTCAGATCTGGGAGGGAGAGCAGAGGCTATTTAACAGATGGCACTGGGACAAATGGGCTGTCATCTGGAAAATATAAAACTAACTTTGTACCTTATACCAAATCAATTCCAGATGGATCCGTCTGATATAAAAAGAGAATGACACAAGTTCCATACCAGGCGACACTGCAGGGGGCTGTCTTTAGAATGTACGGGGCATCATGTGTATTATGTATGCACAATACATGCATATGTACAATACGTATGATGAGAAACGCATTATACATTATGAATTATGACACGAAACCCAGAAGCCACACCAAAAAGGACTGATAAATATAGCATTAAAAAAAAAAAGAAAAGAAAATAATTGCATGGCAAAGTCAAAAGACAAGATTAAAAACCCAGAAAACAAATACATGCAATTCCTACTAAAGATGATTCCTTGAAACTTATGGAGTTTCTAAAAACTAAGAACCCAGCCAGGCGCAGTGGCTCACGCCTGGAATCCCAGCACTTTGGGAGGCCGAGGTGGGTGGATCCCTTGAAGTCAGGAGCTTGAGACCAGCCTGGTCAACATGGCAAAACCCCATCTCTACTAAAAATACAAAAAAAAAAAAAAAAAAATTAGCCAGGCTTGGTGGCACGTGCCTGTAATCCCAGCTACTTGGGTGGCTGAGGCAGGAGAATTGCTTGAACCCGGGAGGCAAAGGTTGCAGTGAACCGAGATCACACCAGTGCACTCCAGCCTGGGTGACAGAGTGAGACTCCGTCTCAAATAAAGTAAAAATTAAAAAAAGAAAAGACCAACAACTCAACAGAGATGAGCAAAGGAGACAAACAGCTCACCAAATATCAATGAAATAGTTTACTTGAAACAATATTCAACCTCATTCCTAAGATAAAACTACACCACACCAGGGTAAGTCTCCACCTAACTGAATGGCTGCAACCAGCAAGTGGCTAACTCACTGGGCTCGTTAAAGGTTAGGGAAACAGGCCTTGTACATGGCTGTGGGAATTCTAAAAGCAGATCTCGGCAACAGGTAAAATAATTACAAAAGCACAGACCGTTTGACCCAACTCCACTTCCAGATTTCTACTTCACAGGTAGACTTACCTGAATGTGAAAGGTCCCATCTGTTGTCTGTAACATGTAGGTGATATGTATATAATATGTAAATGACACTGCACTGGTTTGTAATAATACGATGGAACAAAATGTTATCAACAGGGCCTGATTAAATAACACATTTGTGCCACTGAACAAGCTCTTTATGGACTGACAGAGAAGCCTCATCTGGAAAGACTGCCAAGAGAAGACCAGGAGGCACCTGTGTGTGCAGTGGGACATCAGGTACCTACTTGTAAATACATATGGTTTATCTGGAAGGTTCTAAGAGGAAGTGTGCTGTCTGCAAAGAGGGGAACTGGATGGCTGGGAAGAGGGTAAGAAACATGTTTTTTACATGTGAAATAAAAGTTATCAATACCCAGGGAAAGGAGAACCTTGCCTGACCCTTAAAACGTCCTGGGTGCCCTTCCCTGCCATCTGTGGGAGAAGGGACTTTCCATGCAGCAGCCTCTGGCACTTTTCCATTTCCTACCTCTGGTTACATTACCGATTTAAAATCTTTCTTCACTGAAGAGACCTGCTGAATACTTTTCTGTAAAAATTGTTTTTGTCAAAGAGGTTCAAGGCAAAAGGCAGGTCACAGGAGGCTGAGGAATAACTGAAAGTGAGGAACTAGAGACAGCAGGAGTGACTTCACGAAGCGTGGCCATGTTACAGCATGAAGAACAGCGTGTATGTAAGATCTTACGTGTATCTAAGCATGTGTATGGTTTCTTGAAAGAACGTATGAACATATATGTGCACAAACACGTCTGGAAAGACACACAGCAACCTATTCGCAGGGACCAGCACCACCCAGCGGGATGGAAGGCCTTTTCTGCTAGCTGCTCAGGGAGGCCTCGGTGGTGAAGCGACCAAGAGAAGAGGGGCTGGTAGAGATGAGTGGTGTTAAAGCCGGGGTTTTGTTGGCTGGTAGAGGTGAGTGGTGTTAAAGGCGGGGTTTTGTTGAAAATACAAATCAGAGAACCATTATGGTTTATGGGTCAGGTGAGGCTAGAGGTCAAAGACTGGACTGAAGGAGGGAGACAGAAATCACAAAGTTCAAACGCTGACCTACCAGTGACCCTGAGGAAACAGAGGGCTGTGATCAAACCAGCGGTGAGGGACCAGCCTTACACAGAAAGGAAACACAAGAGAAACTAAGGAGGTGTCCAGGCCCAGATAAGACATTTCAAGGGCGAGTGATTTTTCTGTGAGCCTGCAAAGCACCCACCCCACTGGCAAGCTGGGTAGTGAATGGCGGGTGGGGTCCACAGTGCCCCTCTCAGGGTGAGCGGCCAGGTCCAGGGCTTTGTGGCCCACATGTGAAATCCTGTCCTGCTTAATCATGCTCTGATCAGACATGACACACGGCTGCTAGAAGAGCAATTCTGTCTTGCTTCTGTCTTCTCACTTTAAGTAGCTTCAGGTCTTTTAACCCAGAACAAAACAGAAACTGCTAAGAATTAACGTATTTTGTTCATTCTGGATGATCTCTTTTTACCTTTGACAGGAAATGTTTCTACAATGTGTCAGGTCTCTCTACAATAAAAACATCTACAGAGACTGGAGAAAAAAATTACCTTGCTAAAACTAATTTCTAAACTGAGTATGTTAAGACTGAAGTCCAAAACCAAAAGCCCTTCAATAATGTACCCTAATTAAGTAACTTGCAGCTACACTTCTTACTTAAACTAACAAGATAACTACTGTTCCAACTGGCAGTTTTTCAAAAAAAAAAAAAAAAAAAAAAAAAAGAAGGATCTTTTTCTAAAATCTAATCCCTCTAAGGTGGGGGGCGGGGGAGAACACTAAAGTAGAAATTTTTCCTAGCATAACAAAAATTTCTTCGTCATCAATTCAACAAAAAAAGATGCCCCAGTGCAAGTACCTCTTACTATTCTATTCTACTAGTTGGACTCTGAAGTTTTAAGACTCATGTAGATTTGTTGGAAAAGCATGTTAAACCAAAAGGTAGATGAAGTTTACAGGACTAAAGAGAAAATGGGTAAACTAAAGCCTAAGTAAACGGTAAGCTTCACCTGCAGTGACAAGACTAACGCAGATGCTTATCTGCAATTATCTTCGCACTTGAACAAATGATACCATCATATTACTCATCATACCCAAATATGACACAGAATTTCCAGTTTCTACAACTGTGCTCCAGAACACAGTAGAAAACAGCAAAACTCAAATGTGTGTTCAACTAAATGAGGCAAGTGTGAACTAGCTCATATCAAAGTAAATGGCCTTCATTTAATGTGAGGGCAAAGGACAGTAATTAAAGTACCACATAATCCAAGCCATTACACAGTAGATGGCAGTGCTACTGCAGCTCCATCATGGCATCAACAAAAATACTACCACCAAGAAAGCAATCAGAACTGCATCCCAGCACGGTCACGCACTGCATAAGGATGCTTCCACCACTGACAGACCACACGGACCAGGGATCCTCTAAGATTCTAATAATGCATTTTTACTGTACCTATTCTGTGTTCAGATACACAAATACCACTGGGTTACAACTGCCTACAGTATTCAGTACAGTAACACACTGCACAGGTTTATAGCCGAGGAGCAACAGGCTCTACAATGTGGCCCAGGGGTGTAGCGGGTTCTGCCACCCATGTTTGTGCAAGTACACACTGTGGTGCTGACACAACAAGATCAGCTGAGGACGCTTTTCTCAGAACGTATCTGTGTCCTTAAGCAGCACATGACTCAATTCCCGTATCATGTACTGTACTGTACTATGAAACAGCACAGTGTTTTAGACCTGTAACAGCTGGCCAAAAAATAAAAATAAAAATAAAGATCCACTATGAGTTAGAATATTATTTCCTGTATCTCCTGTAATGCAATAAAAAAAAAAGCAACGTATACAAAGACAGCCAGAAGACTTAGTTCACAGACAAGTTCATAGACCAGGCGGTTCCCAGCTGCCCAGGAGAACGAGTGTTAAAGATGGAGACAAAACAGTGCTTTTAGGTCACAGCTATTCCTTTAACCATCAGTGACAACAGCTGCTCCAGAGAGAGTCTGTTCTTATGGAATGCTAGATGACTCTTGGCTGCAATCGGCCCAGAGTTTAGGGCTAAGGGAGAAACCACTTTGCCTGATAACCAGACGATGAACTATCCCATGTTTCACCTCTGAACTGCAATGATTTTCAACAGCTTACAAAAAGCAACAAAGCAAAAGCTGTTGCTGATCTTTAGACAGACATTTTCAGCAGGTTTATTCACAGCATTTGTGTCTATCTGAAGTTTCTACAGTGCTTACCCTCAGGTACTCACAATGCAAGCCACAGAGAGTTCCAGAACTGTTCCACAGAACATATCCCTAAAGGAAGACCACCACCCCCACCACACCCCTGCACCAAAAACTTTAAAAACATCATTTTTTTAGTACCCCCTTAAAAAAATCAGCCCCATGAAGCAGTTCATTATCCATACCCTGAGGATGCTGAAACACAAACAGCAGGGCCCTCACAGCTGAAGCTCAGGCCCCTGCCCACCAGGCCCTGCTCCCCCATACCTGTCGCTGACCAAATGCACCAGCCCAGAGGCTCTGTACTGACAGCACAGAGTTCCCTGCCACCTCCACCTGCAGCTCCCCAGGCTGGCTGAGGCCACACCTACACAGCTCTGCACACCGCACCTAGCAATCTACCAGGTGGAACAGGAGCCCTCAGGACAGCCCTGCACCGACACGTACGCCAGCGGTCCACAGAGGATGCTCTAAGTGTTAGGCACAGTGCACGGGGATGAAGATAAAGAGCCTATTAACCATGAAGACAAAAGTCTACAAGCAAGCATGTGAAGCAACCCCAAGGTCCACCCGCTGAAGAACGCGTGAGCACAGCTTGGCCTCTTCACACGGGAACGCCACTCGGTTGCGAAAGAGGAGGAAGTGCTGACACACCCACAGCATGGAGGGGCCCTGACATCACCAGAGTGAAGGAAGCCAGTCACAAAGGGCCACACGGTGTGTGGTCCCCTTACATGCTACGTCCAAAAAAGACACCCATAGAGACAAAAAGGGGTGGTCAAGCGTTGGGGGGAGGGGGAATGGGGAGCGACTGCTAATAGGCACTGGGTTTCTTTTTCGGGTGATGGAAACATTCAGTGGCAGTGGTCGTGCTTGCACAGCTATGTGACTATACTAAAAACCACTGACTTCACTTTAAAAGGGTGAAGTATATATAGTATATGAATTCTCTTTCAATAAAGCTGTTATTTTTAAAATAAGAATAAGCATGTGCACATACCATAGCATATTTATTATCACTGACAAAAAGAAAAAACTGCAAAGGATTTAACTATTTCCAAAACTATGGTCTTTTATTTACGTAAAATAGGCATTGGAAAGTCTAAGCCAACTATCCCCCACAGTTGGCACCCTGGAACAGGCGACTGCAGGAGCAGCAAGCAGCAGCATTACCCGCCACTAGGCAGAGTACAACTAATTCAGCCTATCATCAGTGTGGCTACTGGAAGTATTTTTCTTTCTGAAAGTAAAACACAGGTATGTCTACTTTATACTCCCCCTACTTTTACACCTCTAGAAGTCCTCAGAATAATAAGAATTTTTAAATAAAAACACAGGGTTTGGATAAGGAATTGCAAATAATGACTATTTCGGAAAATACAGTTAAAATAAATTTAAAAAAAATTTTTTGAGACAGGGTCTCATTCTGTTACCCAGGCTGGAGTACAGTGGCATGATCATACCTCACCTACAGCTTCTACCTCCTGGGATCAGGTAATCATCCCACCTCAGCCTCCCCAGTAGCAGGGACTACAAATGTGTGCCACCACTCCTGGCTAATTTTTGTATTTTTTGTAGAGACAGGGTTTTGCTGTGTTGCCCAGGCTGGTGTTGAACTCCTGGGCTCAAGCGATCTGCCCATCTTGGCCTCCCAAACTTCTGGGACTACAGGCGTAAGCCACCTTGCCAGGCCAAGAAATAAAAATTCAAATTGGATAAAGAATTTAAAAAGCAATTAACATTTGTATCTCTAAAAGAAAAACACAAAATCTCTAAGCTCAAAGAGTTCAAAACAAAATACAACAGGCTTACAAAAGAATGCAGACAGCTTTAATGGGGCTGCTTTTTCAGGAATATTTAGAAACTAAGAAAGCAAAATACTTAAATGCTAGATTTCATCTGAGTTGCCTGCTCCAAGCAATAAAGGGTTCATCAACGTCAGCCTTAGCTTTGAAGCAGCACAGAAACGAAAGTTAAATGAATGGGGCTGAAATTAGCTTAGCAGTGACACTAGGGATGTAGGGAAAACTAGAATCCACGGTTGTTTTGAAATACGGAAATGACAGCCCAAGGTTACTCCTTATAATAATCCTCTCATTAAGGGTCACAGAATCTTCCAGTTTTCCAAAGATGAAACAAAAAAATTGTCAGCTCCAAGTAACTATTCAAAAACCAATTTAGAACACATAAAAGCTCATAGCCAAGATGTAAATAATTCAATCTATAAAACATGTCTTGCTTTAAGTTAGCATACCTCTATAAAAATAAATGTTAAAAGCCGGAGAGGCCATAAGGGAGAAAGCAGCATTTACTGCACCTCTGCTGGAAGCTCACGTATGTTACCTATGTAATCCTCAACACAAGCCTGTGAGGTAGGTTACATCCCCTCCACTGCAATAGGGACAACACTGAGAGGTAGAAGGATCCTGGCCAAGGTTGCACGGCTGGTAAATTCAGTGCCCATGGCCTTGGGGCTGGGGGGGAGGGGGGGCGGTGCAGGGGTGAGCTGAGACGAATAGATTAGCTCCTTCATCTCGTCAAAGGGATTTCTGCTTGACAGAAAGGCTCTCCTATAAAAGACATTTTTGTTCCAGGTTTAGCTCACTGCCCAACCAAAATAATAATCACCACTGTCTGCATAAAGTGATGCACCCGTGCTCACACATTAAGAATCCCCTTAAAGAGATGACTTTACTGTAGCAACAGCCATAGAAATTATTAGTGGGTGGAATCTACACAAAGGAGTAACAAACAGCACATGAAACTGACCATAAATGACTGAGATTCCATGAATAGGCGACAATTTGCTGGCATGTCAAGGCTTACATGGATTACTAGAAACAACTACATTTCCTAGGACCCTCTGCGCAGCACACAGCCTGAAATGTAGGGTGGGAGCTGAACTTAAAAAGAAAACTATAGTCTTGGAGATAAATGTCACACACAAAAAAACCAATGTATGTACCACAACCACTTCTTAGAGGAAGACATTAAAAAAGAAAAGCCACAACCTAGGATTGAAAGACAGCTTTAAAAACACACACAAAAAACCTAGCAAACCAGACGGTGTTCTCAGCCACTCATAAAAGCAAAGTCTTATCAAAGTTTTAACTTCAAAGAGCTTAAAGACACTGCAAAGAGGCACTCAGCAAGACTGGTCCCGACTGCAACCTATTCCCTTCCAAAAAAATAATCAGTTTGTAATCTAAATACACATCACACCAGGTCAAAGTAATCTCTTCCGGTAGCAAAATTTTGGCACTGGATTGCAGGGGCCTGTTCAAAATAGCTGGAGCCCCAAACACTTTGCGTTTTCAGTTCTGAAACACTTAGACAAAAGTTCACATCGCTAAGTGGATGGCCAGGATGCCCTTCCGGTTCAATTTGGAGACGGGAGATCTTTAACCTAACCTAACATTCTTTAAGGCACCAGTGCCCTCCTACTCAAACGTCAGCCTGGGTTTTGTTTCTAAGGGTCGCCAATAAATAGGTTTCATGGGCATTTAAGGCTCTAGGAGTCTTTTTCTGTCTGTTACAGGTAGCCCGGCTCTTAAAAACGATCACACACAACGCTCACAGGCATGTGCACATTCATAAATACACACGTGTGCACACATACATACCCACATGCGACACACGCGTACATCATACAGCATGCACGTGTCCATAAATGAGCTCACACGGACAGCCACGTCCCGCGCGCAGGCCCCCAGCAACACAGGCCCCAAGCAGGGCCTCCACCTGTATGGAGTGAGCAGCTCAGAAGGCGAAGGCCGGTGCCTTGCAATGTTCACCTCACCCGCGGCTTCTGGCATGGCCACGGCTCCTTCCTTTTCTAGTAATAAATACCAGATTTGGGGAAACCAAGGCGCCGCAATGTGTGTTATCTGTCACCCAAGGGTCCCATTAAGGGGACAAAGGCCTTATCGCGTTTGCAGCCGGCTAAGTGAAAGGAGGGCACTTGGGACTGTGAGCTCTGACCGCGGACGTCTCCCGCACCGCTCCCGCGGATCCTCGGACCCAGGGCCCCTGCAGCCGCTCCTGCCCAAGGGGCGCGAGGCGGAGATCTGGAGGCTTTGGGGCACGCAGAGGAGACTGAGGGTGTGGGCTCAGGGCCGCGGTGCGGTCTTGGGGCTTGAAGTGCAGACTTAGGGTGAGGAGTGCGGGCTTAGGATGGGGGCTTGGGACACGGGGTGGGGACTTCGGATGTACGGTGGAGGCTTGGAGAGGTGGGGCACACATTTGGGATGCGACACAGAGGCTTAGGATGGGGCTTGGGACACGGGCTGGGGGCTCGTGGTGCAGGCTGGAGGCGTGGGTGGGGGGGTCGCGGCGCAGGCTTGGAGGCCTGGGTGGGGGCTCGCGGTGCAGGCTGGAGGCTTCGCATACAGAGTTGGGGATGCAGGGTTGGGGTACAGAGCAGAACTCGGGGCGGGCACGCACCTTGTGGCAGGCCAGGCAGGTGGCCCCCGCCGCCGTTCAGGCTGCTCTGGATCTGCGTGAGCTCCTGGCACAGCACCTGCTTCTGGTGGAAGCTGAAGGCGCGGTGGTTGGAGGACATGGTGAACGGCAGCAGGAACTCATCGCCCGTGCGGCCCTCGTTGAGCTGCAGCCCGTAGTTGTGGATGATGGAGTCACGTGCGTGAGCTTGCGGTAGAGCACGCCCGCCGCCTCGCTCTGCTCCGAGCCCAGCAGCGCCAGCGACACCAGCAGCTTGCTGCGCACCACCTCGTCCGTCAGGTTGGTGAGGCTGCCCAGGTCGGCCGGGTTGTTGGCCTTGATCTCCGAGTCGCGCAGCGAGTGGTAGTCCTTGCGGGCCAGGTCCTCCAGGCACGAGCCGAAGAAGCGGACCTCGAGCGGCATGCACAGGTCCAGCAGGCCGCATAGGAACTCCACGCGCTGAGGCGACGGCAGCTCCGAGAACCAGCGGTACACGCCGTCCCTCTGCAGCGGGCAGCGCTTCTCCACCACGCTGCCGCCCGCGCCGCGCCGCGCCCCGGGGCCCGCGCGGGGGAGGCCGGGGGGCGCCGGGGGCCGCGGCCGGGGCGCGCCGGGACCGGGGGCGCGCGGGCCGGGGTCGGGTCCGGGCGAAGGCGCGCGGGCGCCGCGGGCCGGGCGGGCGCCGGGGCGGGGACCGGAGCCGGGCAAGGCTCCCGTCAGGGGCCGGCGGGCGGGCGCGCGCGGGGCGCCGTAGGGGGACCCGCGGCGGCCGGGGGCGACGAGCTGCCTTGGGCCCGCCGCTCACGGGGAGGCGCCTTCCCGAGCCCATGCCCGTGCCCAGCAGCGGCCGGTGAGCGGCAGCGGCGGCGGCTGCTCCTCGTCGTTGTCGTCGTCGTCGCCCGGAAGGCGGCCGCCCCCATCTCCCCCCGCGCCGCAGGGTCTGTCACTGCGGGCCCCAGGCCGGCCGTTACCCAGGGCCGCGGGCGCGGCGTCGCAGCCTAGGGAGCGATGGGGGCCGCGGCCGCGGAACGGGCGCTGGAGGGGGAGGGACGCAAGGCGGCAGTCGCGGAGGGATCCTGCCGGGACTTGCCGGCCTTGCTGCTCCCGCGCGGCGGACGGGCGGCGGACGGGCGGCGGCGGCGACGGCGACGACGGCAGAGCAGGCACCGGCCGAGGAGCAGAGGGATCGTCGCGCTCGCGGCTGACGGGCGGCCGGGACCAGCAGAAGTGGGCGGGGTGGCCGCCTCTCCGGGCAGCCCGGGCCGGCCGGGCCCACCCTCCCCCCTCCCTAGCTGATTGGCTCAGGCGGCCCGTTCTCCGCCCGTGATTGTGCCGGGTCCCCAATCCCATTCGCCCATGCCGCGGCCACGCCGCCCTGGGGGGCTATGGATCATATTGGAGCCACCGCCTCTAGTCTCTCGGCGGCCGTCAGGACGCGATTGGTCCGCGGAGAGCAGAGAGGCGGAAAACCCGGGCTGGATTTCTGGTGGCTTTTGTTCCCGCAAATTTACGTGGAGCATTGTTTTTGGGCGAAAACGGGGCCTTCGGCCTTCCTGCTTTATTCCTGAGCGGTGTAAGAGGGAGGTAGTGGGTATCTTCGAGAAACGGCCGCCGCGGGGTCCGGAGCCCCGGGTTCCAATCCCGGGTCGGCCACTGCTAAGCTGTGTGACCTTGGGTGAGTCACTTGGCCTCTCTGAGCCCCAGGCGCCTCCCCGGGAAAATGAGGGTAATAGTAACCGCTCCCGGGGGTTTGTGCGAAGGTGTTCAGCTCACAGAGGGCCGGCACCGGCACTTTTGAGGCGGCTGACTTGCCCTGGGGGTGTGATGGGAGGTGCAAGCTTTCTCCAAAAGCCTCCTCCAAATGGAGCCTTTAAATCCGCCTTCTTTCCGCGGCTACTCCACCAGCTCGCCAAACCGAGAAAATGCAAACACAGGGGCGGGGGCAAGGGAGCTGACCTGGCTGGAAGTAAACAGAAACGCCACCCCTCCCCTGGCACTTGCATTGGCACCGGAGGATTGCAGGTGGGGGAAGGGCCTCTGCACCCAACCACCTTTAAATCCCACCACTTACACACAGGCAAAGAAGCAGAGCCGTGGCGGCTGGACGCTCATTCCTCCCCTGCCCTTCCCCTAGAGCGCTGCTTTGAATGTCTGTTGATCTAGAACGGGGTCTGTTCATTCATGGGTTCCAGGTCCCAAGCGCCCGGGGGCAGCTGAGAGCAAAGCTGGCGCCCTCCCTACCCCGTGGAGCTCACACTCTGGTTCTGGGCAGTGCACAGTAGAGATTGGTTGAATCAGTGAATGAACTTTTTCAGGATATGATCCAAGGTGCTGAAAACTTCCTAACAAAACTCTTCAGCCGAATCTGGCACGCCTATGGTTCCAGCTACTGGGTAGACTGAGGCAGGAGGATCGCTTGAGGCCAAGAGTTCAAGGCCAACCTGGGCAACATGGTGAGACCCCCCCCTCCCCCCCAGTCTCTCCAAAACAAACAAACCCCACATTCTCCAGTCTTAGGTCTTCAAGGATGAACAGACATTGCAGAAAGGCACGGTTGGGAACAGAAAAAAATGATCTCCACTCCCCCAGCCCCCTCCACACCTTGGGCACATTTCCCTGGAGCCGCCCGAGTGTTCTTTGTCAGTGTAGGAAGAAGCAAAAATCTAAATGGAGTCAGGATGGCCTCCCACATGGGCACAAGGACAAGGCTGGGGACAGTTGGGTCTCCTCATCTTATTTCCCAGGTCTAGGCTGATTTCTATTAATAATTAAATTAATCGTTGTTCTCCTGGACCTCACTTCTTAATGTGATTCCAGGAAACTGGCCACATTCCAAAATTCATAATCTAAGGTAGTGAAATAACGTGAGCATCAAGACAGTTTGGCTGGGCTCAGAGGCTCACATCTGTAATCCCAGTACTTTGGGAGGCCGAGGGTAGATCCCTTGAGCCCAGGAGTTCGAGACCAGCCTGGGCAACATGGCGAAATCCCATCTCTACAAAAAATACAAAAATTAGCCAGATGTGGTGGCATGTGCCTGTAGTCCCAGTTACTTGGGAGACTGCGGTGGAAGGATTGCCTGAGCCCAGGAAAGGGAGGTTGCGGTGAATGGGGATCCCACCACTGCACTCCAGCCTGGGTGACAGCGTAAGACTCTGTCTCAAAAACAAAAGATTCATTTCTTATTGATAAAGCAAGCTCCTTGGAGAAAGATCTTGGAACCTCATTGGGAGTGGAGGTGGGGCTTCTTCAATCCAGCCGAGCTGGCTGTGAAACCCCCAGGGTTTGGTACCAAGTGAGCTCCAGTCCCAGCTGTGGCTGACTGTGTGAACTTGGCTATGCATTCAAGGGCCTCTGAGCCTCAGTTTCCTCATCTGTAGAAGAGAGCCAGGAACCCGTCATCCTGGCTAGCAGTGGAAGTCAAAGGTGCTCATGGAAAGAATGTCCTTGCTGGCTGGAACAAGGGAGGCCTGAGCTGTGGAAGTCCTTGGATCAAGGTCCTCCCCACTTCCCGCTGCCTTTTTGGTCCTTCTTGCGTGCTCTTTGTGATTTAATGGCTTAGTAGGTTGAATCATGTCCCCCCAAAGTTTATCTCTACCCCAAATCTCAGAATGTGACCTTATTTGGAAAAAGAGTCTTTGCAGATAATTAAGGTAAGAGTCAAGATAAAATCACACTGAATTATGGTGAGCCCTACATGCAATGAGACAGTCCTTACAAGATACAGAAAAGAACACATAGAGACTTCGGGGGAAAGGAGACTATGTGCAAGGATGGCAGAGATTGGAGCCGAGGGGTGCCTGGGCCTACCAGAGGCTGCAAGAGACAGGGAGGACCCTCCCCTAGAGCCTCCAGGGGGAACAGCCCTGCCCACACCTTGACTTTGGACTCCTGGCCTCCAGAACTGTGAGAGGGTAAGTTGCTATTGTTTTCACCCCCCCACACCTCACCCTCCCCTCCCGCACTCACACGTGTTGTGGTTATTTGTAGGGCAGCCAGGGAAACCGAAACAATGTCATTTCCCCCCAGAAGTCGGCGTGGCTCAGCTCAGTCCAGTTCACAACAAATATGAAATCCCTGCCCTACAGGACCAGGCCTCAGGAAGGGCTTGGGGGCCTCAGAGGCAAATGAGACCAGGTCCATCAACCATACAGAACTGACAACCTGGACTCCCCACTCTGAAGTAGGCAGACTGCCTGAGGGAGGGGGCCTCCCTCATGGGGAGAGGGCAGGCGCTGACCTCCCGGGCCCTCCAGCATTCTCTGGGTCCTGGCCCCGAGATTCTGGTTTTCCACACAGGGCACCTACTGTCTCACCCTTCCCTGACTCTGCCCGTGCACAAGGTGACCCCGGCTGCAAGCGTGCCAGGAGCTTTTCTCCACCTCTGCCTCAACATCTGCCGCCTCTCCTCCTCTGGAGAGGGAGGCAGCTGAAGGACACCAGCCCCACGCCTTGCTGGAGCAGCTGAGATCGCTGGGAGGAGGTTGGGAGAGGACTCAGGGGCTCAGGCTAGATCAGGAGGGTGTGCCCTGCCTCCTTGTGAGGGGGCCCAGCACCACGGGGAGCCCACAGTGTAGGGTGCTGTTCAGCCAAATTGGTTACCACTGGGTGTGAGGTCTGTGGTTGTGCAGGGTTGAAGGGCTGGGTGTCATTTGCCTCTGAGGCCCCCGAGCCCTTCCTGAGGCCTGGTCCTATAGGTCAAGGATGGGCTATTTGTTGTGAACTGGATTGCGCTGAGAGCCACACTCATGTTTAGGGGGAAATGCCATTGTACTGGTTTCCTGTGACTGCCCTACAAATAACCACAAAGAGGCAAGGGGAGAAGTGGGGCTGTCCCTTCCATAGGGCTGCAGTCAAGCACAAATGACTCTAATGGTATTAATTTTGAGAGAGAGAGAGAGATTTGGAGTTCACCACAAATTCTCCAAACAAACAATTTTACAAGGAGGACATGACCCGCCTGGCATTACTGCTTAGGTCTGAATGAGTGATACTGACTGCAGCAGGTGACCAGGCCAAGCCCAGAAATGGGCCACGGGGACCCCAAGCACATGCTCTTCCCCCAGACTGCCGCCATCTTGCTTTTCCTTCAGACCTAGGACCCTACGAGAGGAGGGATCTGGAGGCCAGGACAGGAGCAGGACAACACAAACAGAGGCCTCAGAAGAAGACTCAGAGTGGGACAGGGGTTCCTTAAGTGACGGGGGCTGGAAGTGCACAGAGAAGCCTGGTGCAGCAGGGAATTTTCTCTCCCTGGGGTGCTGCCAAGGTATGTGTGGTCTCCAGCTGCGACATGTGCTTCCTTCCCTTGGCCTGAGTCCTGCTTTCCTGTGATTGAGAAGGTTTGGGACCTGACACCCTGAGCATGGAGGCCATAAATCCAGTGGATCCCTAAACTTCCTGACGGGGTCCTGGCTCCAGGCCTCGGTTCCTGACAGCCTCGTGTAATTGACAAAACCCCATGGGGCTGTTTCTGATACTGCTATCAAAATTCCCATCATGCAGATACTGAATGGTCAAGGGCTTCGGCCCGTGCCACACAGTTAGTTCATGTTGGAATTGGATTCTGCCCTAAGTCAATTGCCCATATAGACTCTGCCCCTCCCAGGAGGAAACCACAAATGTGACATATTGTTTATTTGCTATTTTTGCAAAGGTGTCTGTTGCTTGCCAGCTTTTCCAGCCATGACTGCAGACAAAGTCCACCTAGAGTCATAAATGGGCAATCAGCCCCGAACAACGTCCAGCCCCGGTTTCTGCACGGCGAGGCGTTTTTGTCCGTGGCAGACCTGCTTACCCGGGTGTCTTTGGTGTGGGGCTAGATGCAGCATTTCCCCAGTGGGAATGGCCTGGGGTCTTATTTAAAGTGGAGGGTCCTAGGCCTGGCCCCACGTATGGAGTCAGGATCCCTAGGGGTAGGACCTTGGAATCCGCATTTTTTTTGAGACAGGGTCTCACTCTGTCACCCAGGCAGTGGCACGATCTCAGCTCTCTGAAACCTCCACCTCCTGGTTCAAGCGATTCTCCTGCCTCGGCCTCCTGAGTAGCTGGTATTACAGGCACGCACCACCATGCCTGGCTAATTTTCTATGTTTTTAGTAGAGATGGGGTTTCATCATGTTGGCCAGGCTGGTCTCCAACTCCTGACCTCAAGCCATACACTGGCCTCGGCCTCCCTAAGTGCTGGGATTACAGGTACGAGCCACCGTGCCTGGCCAGGAATCTGCATTTTTGCTAGTAACCCTGGTCATCTCAGTGCACACCAAAGTTTGAAACCACTGTTGGGGTGTGGAGTTCTTGCTTCCAGACTTCCAGGGCCTATGGATTGAACAACAGCAGCCACAGTAGTAATTAGAATTTTCAGTCTGAACCACAAGCCTGCCATGCAACAAGGGTTTCCTCCCGTTTTACAGATGAGGGACCTGAGGCTTCATAAGGCTGTTATTGACCTGAGGTCGCACAGCTGATGGCTCCTGGGTTCTTAGCGTTAAGTTTTGCAGCCTTATTTCTGTTGTATATTTGTTTCTCATCTTTCTGTGTTTATTGCACTGCAATTGTGATATCCTCTAAAAGCCAAGGATGAACTCACTGCTGACCTTGGTTTTATTCGTTTGTTTATTTTCACCTTTTCTTGTGAAATGTGCAAACATACTCAAAAGTCAAGAGAATCATATGGTGATTTCTCATAGTCCCCTTTGGCCAGCTTCAGCAAAGATGACATTTTGCCACTCTTATTCCATCCATTTCTGTCACGCCACCCCTGACATACACACATGTTCTTTCTGGAGTATTTTCAAGCAAATACAGGATTTTTAAAAACATGTAAATGACTGTGTTGTTTTGTCTGATTATGATGCATTACATGTTCCTTATGAACAGCTTATACCTCAGTAAAAAACAATATAAAAAGCCACAAATCATCTCAATTCCCAGTATGTGCCACACACATATACACACCACATAGCACATACAACACACACACATTTCACACACACCACGTGCCACATACACACCACACACACATATACACACCACATAGCACACACAACACACACACATTTCTCACATGCCACATGCCACACACATGTGCTATGTGGGGTGTATATGTGTGTGGCATGTGCTGTGTATGTGTGGTGTATGTGTTTGTGTGGTATGTGTGTGGCATGTGCTTTGTATGTGTGTGATGTATGTGTTTATGTATCTGTGTGGTATGTGTGTTATGTGTGGTGTGTATATGTATATGTGTGATGTGTGTGGCATGTGCTGTGTGTGTGATGTGTGTTTATGTATGTTTGTGGTATGTGTGGTGTGTGGTGTGCATACATGTGGCATGTGCTGTGTATACGTGCAGGGTGTGGTGTATGTGTGTGGTGTGTGGCATGTGGTGTGTGTGGAGTGTGTGTGTGTTCTATGTGCTATGTGGTGTGTATATGTATGCCTGTGGTATGTGTGGTGTGTGAGGTGTGTGCATGTGTGTGGCATGTGCTGTGTATGTGTGTGTAGTGCGTGTGCTTGTGTTTGCAACACAGACACCCCCACCTGAGTTTGGTGCAAGCAGCACCTTGTAAGAGAGCAATTCTGACAGTCACTGCCACAGTGGCCGCCTTGCCTGGAGCTGGCCAAGTGGAGGCGGAGGCAGGGGCTTAACACCGGGGCTTCCATCATGAGCGAAGCTGGTGCTGGCTGTTATCATTTGCAGGTGAAACAACTGGGGCAGAGCGGTCACTTGCAAAGGACAGCCCGCCAGCCAGGGACAGAGCTAGGGCTCAGGCTAGCAGCCTCACGGTGCCTCTCACCAAGCCTGGCCAGGCTAAGGGTTTTGGCACCAAAAACAGGAAGGGCAGAAGTGCCAGGGGACAAAGCACTTTCATGCCTCATTTAGCCCTGGTGACATGCTTTAAAATCAATAGATCATTATCCTTACCTGGCCGACGGGGAAATCAGGCCCTGGGGGAGGCCAGCAGATACCAGCAGGGCTAGGACTTGAACCAAGTTCTCCCGATCCCAAATCCCACTGCCCCGTCCCCTCCAGAGCGGCTGTGGGTCAAGGCTGGGTCTGGATGGTGACTCTGGCGAGGAGGGTCAAGTGGACCAGGTTCCTGAAGCCTCACAGCTGTGGCTGGTGTCCCGGATGCTGACGCCTGTTGAGACCTGCTGGTGGCTGGGGTTTCATGTCCTCATTTCCCTTGGCCCGCACAACAATCTTGCCAGTAGAACATTCTTCCCCTTTTACAGATGAAGAAACTGAGGTTTAGAGAAGCCACTTGCCCAGTGTAGACAGCGAGAAGGACAGGTCCAGGTCTGCTTGATGATGAAGCCTGTGTCTTCTTTGCTGTGTGATCCTCATCACGTTAGGGGATTCCTGAGGAAGCAGAGGATTTTGCCCTTGCATTTGAGCCACAGCAGCTCTAGTAAGTACATGTGTGTGCATATGTAGGTCCTGTGTTCCTATTGATGCTAATATGTACAAATTGCATATTAATATATATTAACATGTATTACTATATAATAATACATATCTGAAAGCTGGCTTCAGCTTAAGACTTTGTTTGAGAGTGGTTTGGGGGTTAACACTTTTTTAACCTGCTGGTCCACATGTCGTACGTATGATTCCTTGCACATATTTGAGTCTTGGCATGCCTGCTTCTTTTCTCTTACCCAGGGATGGCTCTTCACTAGGAGGCTGGCACAGAACCATCAGAACGACCACTGGTGTAAGACACAGTAAAGCCCCCCCATGTGTTCCTGTGGAAGCTGGCCATGCCAATACACATAAACCAGAGGCTTAATTAAATTCTCAGCTCCTTGAGAGCAGGAGTCAGGGCTGAGGCTGATTAAGTTTGTCACTTTGGATTTCCAGCTCCAGATGGGTACCATGTATGCAGTTGGTGCTTATTAACTGTTTGCTGGTGGTCTTTCTGCCTTTTTTTTTTTTGAGATGGAGTCTCACTTTGTCACCCAGGCTGGAGTGCAGTGGTGCGATCTCAGCTCACTGCAACCTCTGCCTCCCGGGTTGAAGTGATTCTTCTGCCTCAGCCTCCCCAGTAGCTGGGATTACAGGTGCCCACCACCAGCTAATATTTGTATTTTTGGTATAGAAGGGGTTTCACCATGTTGATCAGGCTGGCCTTAGACTCCTGACCTCAAGTGATCCACCCGCCTTGGCCTCCCAAAGTGCTGGGATTATAGGTGTGAGCCGCTGCGCCCGGCCGAAACCATTGAGTTTTACAAACTTCAGTGCCAATTTCTTACAGCCCTTGGGGTGTGGCCTGGGTTGGACTCTAATGAAGAGAATTGAATCTCCCAGTAGTCAGCTGGCATCTTAGCATACACTGAAGTAGGGATTGACATTTTTCTATGAGGACAGGCTTCAAAGTCTTGCGAGCTTCCTTGCTTTCTCCAGGGAACTGGGAAAGAAAAATTTACGGGATTTATGCTGTCTTCTGGGTAGGAGTGTAAGTTCCTGTTGCTGCTGTAACAATAATTACCACACAATTAGTTGCTTAAAACAACACAAATTTATTCTCTTACAGTTCTGGAGGCCAGAAGTTCAAAATGAGTTCCATGAGTTTAAAACCAAGGTGTCATCAGGGCTGGTTCTTTTTTTTTTTTTTTCTTAAGACCGAGTCTCACTCTGTCGCCCAGGCTGCAGTGCAGTGGCATGACCTCCGCTCACTGCAAGCTCAGCCTCCCGGGTTCAAGTGATTCTCCTGCCTCAGCCTCCAGAGTAGCTGGGACTACAGGCACCCAACACCACACCCGGCTAATTTTTTGTATTTTTAGTAGAGACTGGGTTTCACCATGTTAGCCAGGATGGTCTCTATCTCCTGACCTTGCGATCCTCCCGCCTTGGCCTCCCAAAGTGCTGGGATTACAGGTGTGAGCCACTGCGCCTGGCTAGGGCTGTTTCTTTCTGGAGGCTCAGAGGGGAATCTATTTCCTTGTCTTTTCCAGTTTCTAGAAGCTGCCTACAGTCCTTGGCTCATGGCTCCTTCTCTATCTCCAAAGCGCATCACTCTGTCCTCTGCTTCCACAGTCACATCCCCTTCTTTTACCTTTGAACTTCTTGTCTCCCTCTTTTCTTTTCTTTTTTTTTTTTTTTTTTTTTTTTTTGAGACAGGGTTTCACTCTGTCACCCAGGCTGGAGTGCAGTGGTGTGTTCACAGCTCACTACAGCCTTGACCTCTTGGGGCTCAAGCAATCCTCCTGCCTCAGCCTCCAAGTAGCTGGGACCACAGATGTGTACCACCATGCCTAGCTAACTTTTTAATTTTTTGTAGAGACGAGGTCTCCCTATGTTGCCCAGGCTGGTCTTGAACTTACTCAGTATCATGAGAACAGCATGGGGGAAACTGCCCCCATGATTCAATTACTTCCCACCAGGTCCCTCCCACAACATGTGGGCATTATGAGCTTACAATTCAAGATGAGATTTGAGTGGGGACACATAGCCAAACCGTATCATTTCACCCCTGGCCTCTCCCAAATCTCATGTCCTCACACTTCAAAACAGAATCATGCACTTCCAACAGTCTGCCAAAGTCTTAACTATTCCAGCATGAACCCAAAAGTCCAAGTCCAAAGTCTCATCTGAGACAAGGCAAGTCCCTTTCACTTATGAGCCTGTGAAATCAAAAGCAAGTTAGTTACTTCCTAGATACAATGGGAGTACAGGCATTGGGTAAATGCACCCATTCCAAATGAGAGAAATTGGCCAAAACAAATGGGCTACAGGCCTCATGCAAGTCTGAAATGCAATAGGGCAGTCATTAAACCTTAAAGTTCCAAAATGATCTCCTTTTACTCCACGTCTCACATGCAGGTCACGCTGATGCAAGAGGTGGGCTCCCACACCCCTCCCAGCTGCTTTCGTGGGCTGGCATTGAGTGTCTGTGGCTTTTCCAGGCGCACAATGCAAGCTGTTGGTAGATCTACCATTCTGGGGCCTGGAGGATGGTGGCTGTCTTCTCACAGCTCCACTAGGCACTGCCCCAATGGGGACTCTGTGTGGGGGCTCCAATCCCACATTTCCCTTCTGCACTGCCCTAGCAGAGGTTCTCCATAGCAGAGAGCTCCACCCCTGCAGCAAATTTCTGCCTGAACATCCAGGTGTTTTCATACATCCTCTGAAATCTAGTTGGAGGTTCCCAAACCTCAATTCTTTCTTTTTTTTTTTTGGAGACAGAGTCTTGCTCTGTTGGCCAGGCTGAAGTGCAGTGGCATGTTCTCAGCTCACTGCAACCTCTGCCTCCCGGGTTCAAGCAATTCTCCTGCCTCAGCCTCCCGAGTAGCTGGGATTATAGGGGTGTGCCACCACACCTGGCTAATTTTTGTATGTTTAGTAGAGATGGGGTTTCACCATGTTGGCCAGGCTGGTCTTGAACTCCTGACCTCAGGTAATCCACCCACCTCGGCCTCCCAAAGTGCTGGGATTACAGGCGTGAGCCACCGTGCCTGGCCCAGACCTTAATTCTTGACTTCTGTGCACCTGCAGGCCCAACACCACATGTAAGCCGCCAAGGTTTGCGGCTTGCACCTTCTGAAGCAATGGCCTGAGCTGTATGTTGGCCCCTTTTAGCCACAGCTGAGATGCAGGGCACCATGCCCCAAGACTGCACAGAGCAGCAAGACCCAGGGCCTGCCCCTCGAAATCACTTTTTCCTCCTAGGCCTCCGGGCTTGTGATGGGAGGGGCTGCTGTGAAGTTCTCTGACATGCCCTGGAGACACTTTCCCCGTTGTCTTGTCAATTAACATTTGGCTTCTTGTTACTTATGCAAATTTCTGCAGCTGGCTTGAATTTCTTCTCAGAAAATAGGCTTTTCTGGCCAGGCACAGTGGCTCATGCCTGTAATCCCAGCACTTTGGGAGGCCGAGGCGAGTGGATCGCCTGAGGTCAGGAGTTCGAGACCAGCCTGACCAATCTGGTGAAACCCTGTCTCTACTAAAAATACAAAAATTGGCCAGGCGTGGTGGCAGGTACCTGTAATCCTGGCTACTCAGGGGGCTGAGGCAGGAGAATCGCTTGAACCTGGGAAATGGAGGTTGCAGTGAACCGAGATCATGCCACTGCATTCCAGCCTGGGCAACAGAGCAAGACTCTGTCTCAAACAAACAAACAAAAAAACCCCAGAAAATAGGTTTTTCTTTTCTATCACACTGTCAGGCTGCAAATTTTCCAAACTTTTGTGCTCTACTTCCCTTTTAAACACACATTCCAATTCCAAACCATGCCTTTGTGAATACATAAAACTGAATGCTTTTAAGGGTATCCAAGTCACCTCTTGAATGCTCTGCTGCTTATAAATTTTTTCCACTAGATACCCTAAACCATCTCTCTCAAGTTCAAAGTTCCACAGATCTCTAGGACAGAGGCAAGATGCTGCCAGCCTCTTTGCTAAAGCATAGCAAGAGTCACCTTTGCTCCAGTTCCCAACAAGTTCCTCATCTCAATCTGAGACCACTTCAGCCTGGACTTCATATCACTGTCAGCATTTTGGTCAAAGCCATTCACCAAGTCTTTAGGAAGTTCCAAACTTTCCCACATCCTCCTGTTTTCTGAGCTCTCCAAGTCTCTAGGAAGTTCCAAGCTTTCCCACATTTTCCTGTCTTCTTCTGAGCCCTCTGTTCCAACCTCTGCCAGTTATTCAGTTCCAAAGTCACTTCTGAACTTTCAACTATCCTTATAGCAGCACCCTACTACCAATACCAATTTACTGTATTAGTCTGTTCTCAGGCCATTGTGAAGAAATACCTGAGAGTGGGTTATTTATTTATTTATTTATTTATTTATTTATTTATTTATTTTATTTATTTTTTGAGATGGAGTCTCACTCTGTCACCCAGGCTGGAGTGCAGTGGCACAATCTCGGCTCACTACAAGCTCCACCTCCCAGGGTCACGCCATTCTCCGGCCTCAGCCTCCAGAGTAGCTGGGACTAGAGGCGCCCACCACCACACCCAGCTAATTTTTTATATTTTTAGTAGAGATAGGGTTTCACCATGTTAGCCAGGATGGTCTTGATCTCCTGACCTCGTGATCCACCCACCTTAGCCTCCCAAAGTGCTGGGATTACAGGTGTGAGCCACCACACCTGGCCATTTATTTTTATTTATTTTTGAGATGGAGTCTTGCTCTGTTGCCAGGCTGAAGTGCAATGGCACGATCTCGGCTCACTGCAACCTCTGCCTCCTGGGTTCACACCATTCTCCTGCCTCAGCCTCCTGAGTAGCTGGGACTAGAGGTGCCCACCACCACGCCCGGCTAATTTTTTTGTATTTTTAGTAGAGACAGGGTTTCACCATGTTAGCCAGGATGATCTTGATCTCCTGACCTCGTGATCCACCCGCCTTGGCCTCCCAAAGTGCTGGGATTACAGGCGTGAGCCACCATACCCGGCCTGGGAGTGGGTAATTTATAAAAAGAGGTTTAATTGACTCACAGTTCCACAGAGCTGGGGAGGCCTCAGGAAACTTAAAATCATGGCAGAAAGCACCTCTTTACAGGGTGGCAGAAGAGAGAAAGAGTGCCAGCAGGGGAAACACCAGACGCTTATCAAGCCATCAGATTTTGAGATAATTCACTCACTATCACAAGAACAGCATGGGGGAAACTGCCCCCATGATTCAATTCCCTCCCATGGCGGGTGGGGATTATGGGATTACAATTCAAGAGGAGATTTGGGTGGGGATACAAAGCCAAACCATATCAGCCACCATGC
Source organism: Homo sapiens (assembly GCF_000001405.40). Taxonomy (NCBI): domain Eukaryota; kingdom Metazoa; phylum Chordata; class Mammalia; order Primates; family Hominidae; genus Homo; species Homo sapiens. The sequence goes on along the minus strand of NC_000015.10, from coordinate 22,245,162 downwards.
CCAGCTAATTTTTTTTTTTTTTTTTTGAGAGAGAGTCTCACTCTGTCTCCCAGGCTGGAGTGCAGTGGCGCAGTCTGGGCTTACTGCAAGCTCCACCTCCCGGGTTCACTCCATTCTTCTGCTTCAGCCTTCCAAGTAGCTGGGACTAAAGGTGCCCGCCACCACACCTGGCTAATTTTTTTGTATTTTTAGAAGAGACGGGGTTTCACCATGTTAGCCAGGATGGTCTCGATCTCCTGACCTTGTGATCCACCTGCCTCCGCCTCCCAAAGTGCTGGGATTACAGGCGTAAGCCACCGCACCTGGCTTTTTTTTTTTTTTTTTTGAGACAGAGTCTTGCTTTATCACCCGGATTGGAATGCAGTGGCATGATCTCTGCTCACTGCAACCTCTGTCTCCTGTGTTGAAGCAATTGTCCTGCCTCAGCCTCCCCAGTAGATGGTATTGCAGGTGTGGGCCACCATACCTGGCTAATTTTTATATTTTTAGTAGAGACGAGATTTCCCCCATGTTGGCCAGGCTGGTCTTGAACTTCTGACCTCAGGTGATCTGCCCACCTCACCCTCCCAAAGTGCTGGGATTACAGGCATGAGCCACTGTGCCCTGCCCTAATTTTTTTTTTTTTTTTTTGTAGAGATAAGGTCTCACTATGTTGCCCAGATTGATCTTGAATTCCTGGCCTTAAGTAATCCTCCCACCTTAGCCTCCCAAAGTGTTGGCATTAAAGGCATAAGCCACCATACCCTGCCAACATACGTAACTTAATCATATCTGCAAAGTCCCTTTTACCATGTGAGGTCACATCCACACGTTCTGGGGATTAGGACGTGGGCATCTTTTTGGGTGCCATGATTCAGTGCCACAGTGGGTACACAGCAAGCCAATGATGGGGGTAATTAAGTTAACATTAAATGTCCCATGAGTTCTATGTTATAGAGCAGTGATCATGTCCCTGGGGTGTGAGGTGATCCACTGAGGACCAGGAAGAAGAGATGAGATTATTGCTTAAGATTAAGCAAGAAATCAGGTTTTATGAATATTCACTCTGAGCTGACGCTGGCTCTCTGTACCCATGATGGTCTGGTCAGAAAAACAGAAAATGCACTGGTTAGTTTAGCAGAGAGAATTTAATATTGGTCATTGGTGGAACAAGGAATGGAGGACTAAAGAGGCAGAAGGGGGACCTGAGGTCACAGGCGGGGACACCCCTCAGTCTTGGTGGCACTGCGGTGGTGGCTCCTCAGCTGTCACCCAAGGGAAACTTGCAGGATGAATGGGAGTTTCACAGTGAAGTCCCATCGCCAGTCTGTTAGCTCTTTTTTTTTTTTTTTTTTTTTAATGAGACAGGGTCTGGGTCTGTCAATCCAGGCTGGAGTGCGGTGGTGCAATCTCAGCTCACCACGATCTCTGCATCCTGGGCTCAAACAATCCTCCTGCCTCAGCCTCCCAAGTAGCTGTGAAAAAAGGCATGCGCCACCACACCTGGCTAATTTTTATATTTGTTGTAAACATGGGGCCTCACTATGTGGCCCAGGCTGGTCTTGAACTCTTGGGCTCAAGCAATCCGCCCACCTTGGCCTCTTAAGTTGCTGGGATTACAGGTCTGAGCCACCACACCTGTGTGTTAGATCTTAAAATATGGCAACATATGTTGGTGAAGTATTGGCTTAGTAGAGTGGATCTGTAGCTTCTGGTACCTATCTTGTCTGGTTCTAACTAAATTCGATGTATGCCTTAAAAAGATTCATACAAAGGAACTGTGGAATGAAGGAAACACTAATAAGCCAAGCAGAGTAAAGAGTGAGAACGTATCAGAGCAGCTATCTTATTCCTGGCCTGAGCTCTTTATCAGACATATCCCAAGGTAAAAACAAAGGCAGCTAGCCAGTCAGTCCCACAGAGGACAGTCACACAAACCCTAGTTATCCAGAAGTCTATTCGAAGTACAGATTAGAAAATCCATCCCTGTTGACAATAATCCTCACCCCAAATGCATATTTTGCCTTGAGATGTAATGGAAACCATCATAATTAGCAAGACATTAAAAAGAATGTTGTTTGTTTAATCTTTTACTCGGCATTTAGAAATTTCCATTTTGGCTGGGCGCAGTGGCTCACGCCTGTAATCCCAGCACTTTGGGATGCCGAGGAGGGTGGATCACCTGAGGTCAGGAGTTCAAGACCAGCCTGGCCAACATGGTTAAACCCCATCTCTACTAAAAATACAAAAATTGGCCAGGCATGGTGATGTGTGCCTATAATCCCAGCTACTTGGGAGGCTAAGGCAGGAGAATCCTGAATCTGGGAGGTGCAGGTTGCAGTGAGCTGAGATCACACCGCTGTACTCCAGCCTGGGCAACACAGAAAGACTCCATCTCAAAAAAAAAATCCATTTTGACAGGAGTTTTATGATTATACATAAAATATGAGAGCAGCAATGCATATATATAATTCATAAGTTTTAAGATACACATATATGGTGGCCACCTGCGGGAAAGGTTTTGCCCATTAGGATCTATGATCTAAACACTTTGGAGACTCCTGCCCTGAAGAATTCATGTCTATGAGCTATCCAAAAACCCAGACCAGGCCGGGCGTGGTGATTTATGCCTGTAATCCCAGCACTTTGGGAGGCCAAGGCAGGCAGATCACTTGAGGTCAGGAGTTCAGGACCAGCCTGGCCAACATGGCAAAACCGCATCTCTACTAAAAATACAAAAATTAGCCAGGTTTGCGGTATGCGCCTGTAATCCCAGCTACTCGGGAGACTGAGGCAGGAGAATCACTTGAACCCGGGAGGCAGTGGTTGCAGTGAGCCGAGATTGTGCCATTGCACTCCAACCTGCACAAGAAGAGCAAAACTCCATCTCAAAAAATAAAAAAAAACTCAGATTAAACAATGATTATAGATGTTTTATGAAATCAATCAAGAAAGTTCATAAAGAGGATGACCACAATTTTTTTTCTGTCTGCAAGATCCGTATTTGTTGTGCTGTGCCACATTAATAATTACATAACAATTATATAATGTATATATCCAGGCCTTGATAATTGCCATTGTCTACAAGATGCTCTAGAAGTCCAAAGGGAAAACGAGCCTGAGAAAGTCCAATAGGGCTTCACAGAAAAGGTGGCATTTAATCTAGGCCTTGCTTGGAGCTGGAGAGTTCCACGTGGCTAGGGAGGCCTCACAGTCGTGGTGGAAGGTGACAGGCAGGTCTTAATTAATGAAGCTTTAAATGTTTTTTCACTGGGGCCAGGCATGGCAGCTCACACCTACAATCTCAGCACTTCAGGATTACTTTTTTTTTTTTTTTTTAAAGCAGAGGGTCTGTAACTTTCACCAGATTCTTAAGGAGTCTGTGACCTGGGAGACTTTTAAGAGTGGGAGAGCTGTGAGGCCATGCTCAGGCTGGATGCCAGTTGTGGGACCCCTCGCTTCACCTCTCTGAGCCTCAGCTTCCTCATCTGTGCAATGGGGCAGCCTCGCGGACGTGCAGGATTGCTGTTCTGGACAGGCAGAGCCTGGGATCCAGAGGAGCCCAGCGCCCGCCAACTGCAGCGCCCAGCACCAGCAACCCCAGCACTGGGGGCTGACTCCATTCTTCTCCCCAGGGCTACACCAGCTCTAGCTTCCTGGCCGCCAGTTTCCCCAGCAACTTCATTTTGTTTATTTGCAATGGCTTCTTGGGGTCTCCTGGAGAAAAGATTCTCAGCGGAGTTCCAGAAAATGAATGCACTCTGCCTGTGCTCGGAGAGCTCCCAGCTGTTCTCTTGGCTGGCCGGCTCAGAAGAAATGATGTTAGGAATGTTTATCTCAGAGGAAGCGGAAAAGCTCCTTTCAGCAAAATAAGAATGAACCACAAAACGAGGTGCAGGGGGCCTTGTCAAGACATCGTAGCGTGGTGCCATGGGAACATCCACTTCCTTTGTCCTGCCTCAGCTGACAGTGCCTCAGAGATGCCCTGAGTTACGTCAGCCAGGCTGGCATCCAAGGGGCTCCTTACTGGCTCACAAGACACGTTGCTTTTTCAGGACCAGAGAGACTTGGAGGTCCTCCCCTGCAGCCCCAAGCCTTTGTTTAGGCTGTGCTGTGAGGCTGGCTCTCTGTGGTCAGCATCTCAGTGTCCCTGCCTGGCCAGCAAAGGGGTGACATTTTCCTTGGGTGCCCTCTTGCAACATTGCGTTAAATTCTCAAAAAGGTGCAAACCCTTAGGGTGAAGTTTGTGTCTAGAATATAATGGTTAAGGGCCTCGGTTCTGGAGTCAGAATGACCAGGGTTTGGGTCCCGGCTCCATTGCTTTATAGCTGCCTGAGCCTCCATTTCCCAGTGTGTGGAATAGCTGGTAACCAGCATTCTTACTCCCATGGGTGTTGGAGACTTGAATGAGATCGTCATTACAAAGCATTCAGCACAGGTTAAGTGCTGATAGGCGGAAAGGAGATAATCAGTGGTAGAGATTATTATTTTAGTTGTCTGCTTATAAAATCAGAAAATGGGAAATAGAAAAATACAAAGAAGAAAGTGCATGTAGCCCCACGGCGCGGCGATCCGCGCCACTGGCCTTTTGTTAGCTGTCCTTCCTGTTTCTTTTTCCTGTGGGTGTGTATGCATGTGTATATTTCATAGGATCTGGTCATAGTTGAATGAGGATAGTTTATGTATGTATAGACATGTTAGTTTTTTCTTAATACCAGGCATAATATATCTTAACCCACTTTTTTAAAACTTAAAAATATATGGAGAACACATTCTCCAAATCATTACATTTTACCATATTGCATATTTTTTTACTTTGTAATGTTTCAAAGTAAGGATGTGTTTTAGAATCAATGTCAAAAGAAATGTGCCAGCTATTTCTTTTTTTTCCCCCCTAAAATGGGGGTTATGATGACACTGGTAATACAAATAACAAATGATGGCTTCTCAGATTCAAAGAAACACAGCAGACTAAAAGATCCTTCTTAAATTCCACAAAGGATTCCTCAGTGCCACTGTTGTCACTAACTCAATTGACCTCTATTTTTGGACATTTTGGCTCCTTCGGTTTTTTTTCACTATTACCCACCATGCCACACAATAGAGTCTGCAGGAAACGCAATTCAATGGGCCAACGGGCCCTGAGGGATGGAGGTGAGGTGGAAGGTGGAGGGACCTGAGAATTTCTGTTAAGGTCATGGCCAGCCTGTGCTGACCTTGTAGGGAGAAAGATGGGGGATAAGTATCCCAGCCTCCCTCCCCACCCTCCCTCACATCTCATGCCAGGGCTCCCCCAGTGGGAAGCAGAGAGGGTGAGGAAGGGGGAGGGTATGGTTCTCAGGCCAGCCCCTGGGCAGAGAAAGAGTGACCCTGGTTGGGCAGCCCTATGGCCCTGTGGAGCTGAGATGCCAGCTTTAGATGGGGGGACTTACAACACGGGCTTTCCCTTCCCCAGTGGAACAGAAGGCGCCGGCGAGAGGCCCTCCTTGTCAGCACCAGGGACAGATTGCTCAAGAATCTGTGTGCTCCAAGGCACAAGAGGGGTGCTGTCTCCTTTCCTGGAGTTCCGTCTCATGCCTACGTTTCAGGTAGGATGCTATTTTTAAGTGACTGGCACCATGGATCAGTACACTTGGAGGGAGGAGAGGGGATGCCACACATAGCAGGGGTGGGTGCTGTGAGCAGGGGTGGGGAGAGGAAAGGGGGCTGCGTTCGAGCCACTCTGACAATGAGGCTGAGGGCTGGCTGGCTGTCACACCCACGGCCGACATTAATCACATCCTGCCTGGCACTCCCCAGCAGCTCTGACACATGTGGCCGCACCCCACTTCTGGAAAGCTCCCTGCTCAGGCTCTGCAGAGCACTTCTCGCAACACTTCCCTTGCTGGATCCATGCCCCCAGCATGGATTCCTTCAGCCTGGCTCTGGCCAGGGGTGGGCTCTGAGCCACCATGGGACTGAGGCAGAACACACTGTACAATGCAAGGCTGAACACGCTGGGCCCCTTCGGGATGCTGGCGGTTATGTGGGCGGTGGGACGGGTGGGGTGACATGGAACACACCTCAGTCGCTCCTCCAGCTAGGGTTTTGGGGTTGCAAGCAACGGAACCTGGCTCTTGCTAACCATGTTGGGGCTGGACGCAAGGGTTTACGGGCAGGACCTGAGCTAGCTACAGAGTGGAGAGGTAAGATGAGAGCCAGCCCACAGGAAGGCCGGAGTGGAACAGTGTTGGGAGCCTGAAAGATGGGGACTAACAAGCAGCCTCTGGCTGGGAGGTTCTGCCGGGATCAGTTTCCTCCATGCTACAGAGGGGACTTGCTCAGGGCCACGTGGCTAATTGGAGGCATGGACAATCTCCGAACTCAGACCTCTGACGGATGCGGTCCTCTGACCAGTCTAAAGCTGGGTCCTCCCAGCTCAGTGACGCTGTCCTCACAGGAATGCCTAATGGGGCTTCCTCCCTGCCCATCCCAACCCCTGGGGCCACACATTGCTTATTTTGGATTACACCGGGCAGCCTGTGCCCCGGGCAGAGGGAGGGAGAGCTTGGGCAGGACTGGGGAGTGTGACTCATTTCTGTCTACCCAGCCAAGCACCAAAGGCGATGCTGGCAAGCGGGAGACGGTCCACAGCCACTCACCGGCAGCCAGAAGCCAGGCTCAGGACAGCGAGGCCTCAGCTTACACAGAGGCCACCAAAGAATGGCCCGGCAGGACAGGACGCCAAACCTCATTTATCTGAGCAGTGCAAGGCCGCCTGGTCAGTGTCCACTCCACACCCAGGCCCTCCTCTCTTTGCTGTGGCCACAGCAGATGTGCCAGCTGCCCCATTGCTGCACAACGCCAAGCCTCCATCCAACTCGTCCTGAACACCCTTCCCCCGTGTCCTTCCTATCTCCGTGAACATGGCAGTCAGAAATCCAATGCCTGGTGTCACGACTTCCCAGCTGTAGATCTTGGGCGAGTTGCATCCCTTCTCTCTGCCTCAGTTTCCTCCTTTGTAGCATGGGGATAAGACCTTCTTTACAGGGTTTAACAGCCAGGAATCAGGTGTGCAAAAGCGGAGGCATGGTTCATCACAGGGGCCTGCTGTGGCGGCTGTCCTCCTCCTAATAGCCACATTCCCCGGACCCAGCCTGGAGGAGTGTGCCATCCCCCGGTTTGCTCTCCCTCTTCCCGTCTCGGTGATCCAGGCCATAAAAAATGGCTCCTCCCAGATGCCATAAGATAGAAGCTGCATTGCCCTCGTGGCAGGAAGGGGACATTTGGGCTACTTCAAACCAAACCAAACAAAAAACTCACTGTCATCAATTCTTGCCTTCTAAAGGGAGGGGCACATTTCATCTTGGGGATGCTGGCCTGGGGATTCCACTTAGCCAAGAGCAGAGGAAACATCATTTCCAAGCACCAGCTAGTGCTCTGTGCTGCTAAAAGTCCCAGAGTATCCTGTCCTGGCTCAGTTGAGCCCCTTACTGAGCTCAGGACTCTTTTGGCTGCCAATGACAGAAATTCAACCTGAATCACTTACAACAAAAATAATGTATATTATATATTATAAAATATATATCAATATATAGATATATTTTTGAGATGGAGTTTCACTCTTGTTGCCCAGGCTGGCGTGCAATGGCGCAATCTCAGCTCACTGCAACCTATGCCTCCCAGGTTCAAGCGATTCTCCTGCCTCAGCCTCCCAAGCAGCTGGGATTACAGGCGCCCACCACCACACCTGGCTAATTTTTTGTATTTGTAGTAGAGACAGGGTTTCACCATGTTAGCCAGGCTGGTCTTGAACTCCTGACCTCAGGTGATCCACCTGCCTTGGCCTCCCAAAGTGCTGGGATTACAGGTGTGACCCACCGTGCCCGGCCGAGCAAAAATAATATCAATAGCTCACTTAACTGGAAAAAAGCCCCTGCAGGTGAGTCTAGCTTCAGGCACAACTGGATCCAGGGACTCAAATGATATCTCCCCTTCCCTCGGCTCTGCTTTCCTCCGTGTGGTGATGTCACTTTTTAGATATCTTCATCCACTTGAGCAAGGATGATAGTAGCTCCAGGCTCTGTGGCAGGTTGTGTATTCTAAATTTGGCCACACCAACATACGTCCCATCCACGTGTCGTTTGTAACCCTCTCAACCAATGGAAAATGTTGGAAGTGACATTCTATGACTTTTGAGGCTGGGTCCTGAAAGGCAATCCAGTTCTGCCGGCATCCCTCTCTTTGGGGACACTTAGCCCTTGGAGGCCAGCACCATACTGTGCCTATTCCTGACCTCCAGAGTCCATAAGCTTAATCAATACTTGTTTTACGCCACTAAGTTTTGGGGTAATTTGCGATGTGCCCTGCTATAGCTTTCGTGATCCCCATAGGTCAGAATTGAGGAAATAGACCTTCATCCTTCCAACACCATTGGCCAGTTCTTAGTAAAGATTCAGAGCAATCCAGCCTGCATGCCGGTCACATCCCTAAATCAGTGACTGTAGCCAGAGGGATGGGGAACTCTGGCTGGCTAGGCTGGACCATGAGCATCCTCTGGCTTGATGAAGGGTGGGGACAAGGAGCTCTGACCTTGTCAGGACCACAGGGAGTTGGCTGGAGTTGAGGAGAGGTGGAAGCCACTATCAGATGGACAGGGAGAGATGGCAGCCAAAGTCCATTGTCGTATAAAGGCAGGAGCTGACTGTTACTGCCCTGACTCTCGAGAAAACATTTGATTTGTTAAGGGGAAGGTGATGGAGGTTTTGGAAGGGGAACTTAGGAAAATAAGAATACAAAAATTAGCTGAGTGTGGTGGCATGTGCCTGTTGTCCCAGCTACTCAGGAGGCTGAGACAGGAGGATCACTTGAGGCCAGGAGATCAAGGCTGCAATGAGCCTTGATTGCACCACTAAAACTCAAGCCTGGTCAACAAAGCAAGACCCTCTCTAAAAATAAACATGGCCAAGTGCAGTGGCTCATGCCCATAATCCCAGGACTCTGGGAGGCCAAAGTGGGCAGATCACTTGAGGCCAGAAGTTGGAGACCAGACTGGCCAACATGGTGAAACCCCGTTTCTACTGAAAATACAAAAACTTAGCTGGGTGTGGTGATGCATACCTGTAAAACCAGCTGCTTGGGAGGCTGAGACAGGAGAATTGCTTGAACCCAAGAGGCAGAGGTTGCAGTGAGCCAAGATCATGCCACTGCACTCCAGCTTGGGCAACAGAGTGAGACTCTGTTTCAAAAAATAAGATAAATAAAAGAAAACAGAAAAAGAAAAACAAGAGTAATACTGCTTTTCCTACCATACATGGATAGGATTTGAAGAAAGCAGGAGAATGACAAGCTAGCTGAGCAACTCATGCCAGAGTCAGCCATGTTTTGTGAGGAACTAACATTTACCCAGGGCCCGTGCTGTGCCCAGCCCCGCATTAGGTGTTTTCTGTTCATTCTCATTTAATGAGTCTGCAGCTCTTGGAGGGCCAGGACCGTGCCTGTAGGGCAGCATTGACTGTGTTCATCAGAACACGTTCTGGCTGCTAGAAAAAAAGGCCAAAATGACAGTGGCTTAAACAAGATAGAAGCTTGTTTCTTTCTCATGAAACAGCCCCAGATTGAGCCTAGCAAATTTGGGTGCCCTTTGGTGTCTATCTGGCTGGTCTGCCAAGCCTAATATGTGGTTTCCATCTTAACATCTGAGATGGGGCTGCCTCAGCTCCGGCCAGCAGGTCCACATTCCAGCCAGGCAAGGAGGCAAGAGGAAATGAGAGCAAGGCCCAGAGCTTTATTCGTGTCTTCCACTTACATCTCACTGGCCAGAACTGTGTCACGTGGCTGTGTTGATCCAGAACCCAAGAGAGGGTTCTTGGATCTTTCACAGGAAAGAATTCAAAATGAGTCTTAGAGTGCAGTGAGAAGAAATGGCTTATTGAACACTACTCAGTGACAGCCCAGAAAGCCCAGAAAGTTACAGCCCAGAAAGAAAGTTATACCCTCAGAAAGCAAGAGGAGGAGTGCCTCATCATCATTTTAAATTCCTCTTACTAAGACGCCTTATCTATGGAAAAGCTAAGCTGTGTCTACTCCATGCGGATGGGCTCACAGCATGACGTTTCTTACTTTGCTGATTTAAAGAAAACTATGCTTGGCACTTAGTGCATAAATACATCCCAGCACGACTATCATGATCCTGAAAGCATACACTGTTATGGGTGTTGGGACATCTGGACATTCCGTTGTCAGAGGAGTGTGTTCTTGCAGGTATCATCAGGCCATTTCCTCAACTGTAAACATCTTACGACCATGGAGTGTGACCAACCAGGAATGTGTCTTGCTAATTTTAAGATAGTGCTGAGGTTTTTGTTTGTTTGTTTGTTTTTGTTTTTGAGACAGAGTTTCGCTCTTGTTGCCCAGGCTGGAGTGCAATGGCGTGATCTCAGCTCACTGCAACCTCTGCCTCCCAGGTTCAAGTGATTCTCCTGCCTCAGCCTCCAGAGTAGCTGGCATTACAGACGCCTGCCACCACGGCCAGCTAAATTTTTTTTTTTTTGTATTTTTAGTAGAGACAGGGTTTCACTGTGTTGGTCAGGCTGATCTTGAACTCCTGACCTCAGGTGATCCACCTGCTGTGGCCTCCCAAAGTGCTGGGATTACACGTGTGAGCCACTGCACTCTGCCAGAGCTGAGTTTTTAGGTGGTGTCACCCTGGCTCTCCTATATTCTTCTTTCTCTAACAGCCACATCTAGCTGCAAGAGAGGCTGGTAATGCAGCTTTTAGCGCTTGATCCTGTGCCCCATGGAAACTCAAGGGCTCTAATGCTAAAGGAAGAATGAGAAGATGGATATTGGATGATAACTGGTAGACTCAGCCTAAGACACTCGAAACTGAAGAGCTGGCAGTGCCCTAATGATAGCCCCTATGGGACAGTGGTTTACAGCCTGGGCCCTACAGGCCGGGCGCGGTGGCTCAAGCCTGTAATCCCAGCACTTTGGGAGGCCCAGACAGGTGGATCACAAGGTCAGCTGGTTAACACGGTGAAACCCCGTCTCTACTAAAAGTACAAAAAATTAGCCAGGTGTGGTGGCGGGCATCTGTAGTCCCAGCTACTCGGAAGGCTGAGGCAGGGGAATGATGTGAACCTGGGAGGCGGAGCTTGCAGTGAGCCGAGATCGAACCACTGGACTCCAGCCTGGGTGACAGAATGAGACGCCATCTCAAAAAAAAAAAAAGAGCCTGGGTCCTAGAGTCACATGGCCAGGGAGTTTCATCTTGGCCCTACCCTTGAAATCTGTGTGACCTAAGCCTCAATTTCCTTATCCATAAAATAGGAGTGATGATAATACCACATTTCATTGATTCTTTATTTTTATTTTATTTTTTAGAGAGAGGTTCTGTGCCTAGGCTGGAGTGTAGTGGTGTGATCGGAGCTCATTGCAGCCTCAAACTTCTGGGTTCAAGTGATCCTTCTGCCTCAGCCTCTTGAGTAACTGGGGCTACAGGCATGCTACCATGTCTGGCTAATTTTTAATCTTTTTGTTGAGAAGGGGTCTTGTTCTGGTGCCCAGGCTGGCCTTGAACTCCTGGGCTTAAGCTATCCTCCCACCCCAGCCTCCCATAGCATTGGATTACAGGTATGAGCCACTGTACCTGGCTTCATATTTTATTGATTCTAAGATTTGAATTTTAACATCTCTAAAATTAGGATGTATTTACAAGTAATGATGTGTTTAGTTGACAGATTTTTTTTTTAATTCTTAAAACCATAGTAACATAGTGTTGTGTCTTACAACTAATGGTGACTAGGATTTCATAAAATACAAGTGCTATTTTGATGATAACATCATTAATAGCATATGCATACTCTTAATACAATTCTTAATATAATAGAATATAGAGTGTTGAAATTCATATATATTCATTTGAATAGTTCCAGAACTATGGTAAGAACTCAGTAAATGTCAGCCATTATTCCCATCACCAAGTGCCCCCAGCATGTAGGAAGTGGCTCATTTACCTGGAGCTAAAGGAATACCCAGGGCGGGGTCAGTCTCTAAACCACCCACCTGTAGGTGAGGCAAAGAGCCCAGCAGGTTCTTCCTCCACCCTACACACCACTCAGATTCTAAAAATCAACTCTGCAGTTGCTGGCTAGATGGAGGGAGAGTGGGGCAGGTGGAGATTGCTCTCCCACCTGTAGGTTAGGGTTAGGTTAGGGTTAGGGCTTAGGGTTAGGGTTAGGGTTTAGAGTTAGGGTTAGGGTTAGGCTTTAGGGTTAGTGTTAGGGTTTAGGTTTATTGTTAAGATTAGGTTTTAGGGTTCCGGTTAGGGTTTAGGTTTAGGAGTTAGATTTAGGGTTAGTGTTAGGGTTAGGGTTTAGGTTTTGGCTTACATTTATGGTTTAGTGGCAGGGGTAGGGTTTTGGGTTGGGTTAGTGTTTAGGGTTAGGGTTAGGGTTAGAGTTAGGTTTTAGGGGTAGGTTTAGTGTTTCGGGCTAGGGTTAGGGTTCGTGTTAGGGTCTGAGTTGGGGTTAGGGTTATGATTAGATTTATGGGTTATGGCTTTGGGTTATGGTTAGGTTTCTGGGTTAGGGTGGGATTAGTGTTTAGGTTAAGGGTTAGGTTATGTTTTGGGTTGGCTTTAGCTTTTTGGGTTAGCATTTGAGTTTAGTGTTAGGGTTAAGGTTAGGGTGTTAAGGTCATGAATTAGGGTTAGAGTTAAGGTTAGTCTTTAGCGTTACAATTAGGGTTAGTGTTAGGGTTAGGATTAGGGTTACTGTTAAGATTACTTTTCCTGTGATCCCGGGATTTGTTTTTTGTGGCTGCATAGCAAATGCTCATCTGCTAAGTCACTTAAAAGAATAAGCATTTATTCTCCCACAGTGCTGCGGGACACAAGTGTGGCATTAAAAGGACCATGCTCACTCCTAAGGCTCTGTGCCAGGACCTTTGTAGCCTCTCCCAGCTTCTGTGGGCTTTGGGCATTCCTGGGCTTTCCTTGTTTCATAGACGCATCTCTTCCTCCATCTTCATGCGCCTTCCCCTCTGTGTGTCTCTGTGTCCTCTTCTTTTCAAGACACTGTCATTGTATTTAAGCCCCATCCTATTCCAGTGGAACATAATTTTTAACTAGCTACACCTGCAAAGACCCTATTTCCAAATGAGGCAACATTCTGAGGTTTTGGGTGGACATGCATTTTTGGGGGTTATCTTTCAGCCCCGAACAACTTGGTACTGCAGTGCTCCCTGCCTGATTTTGGTTGACTCTGTTCTCCACTTTCTCTTTTTTGCTTTTTTTTACTCCCTGGCTCATCTGTCGGTTCTGCAAGGCATCTCCAACACCAGCCATTGTGAACAGTCTGTTCAGTGCAGACAGAAAAGGTGGCACCCATCCAGAATGTCCTGTGGGCTGCTGTTAGAATATTATCAGTTAGAGAAGAGATGAGGGAAAGATAAACCCAGGAGTAATAATTAGTAGAAAGGAATGTCACATGGCATGAACTCACTCCAGCACATAAAAATATGTTACCAAATTTCCTTGGAGTTCTATTTATTCTTTTTTTTTTCTTTTCAGTGAAAACAAAAACAAAAATATTCTAGTTAAGCACTGAACTTGTCAAAGCACAAAGACAGCATAAGAAAGTTTGAGTTTAGGGCATCAGCTCTTCTCTTTGTTAAGGTGAAAAGGAAATAAACAAGGCAAAGATGTTGTCATTGAATGTCACAGAAGAGATTGTTCTACCAAGGGCCAGAACCAGAAGGAAGCCTCTTAAGAGTCTTCAGGGTTTGTTAATTGTGATTGGCCTGTGGGCACACTTGGGTCACAGTAGTGCAACGATGCTCTGGGGATTGTTTAAAAGGCACCATGCACTTGGTTTTACTAGAATTATGGAAAAAGTTTTATGAGGTCAGGTTTAATTATTTAAAAACTGGAAGGGATCTTAAGAAATCATATATCTCAGTGTTTCCCAGAACCGTATCAGCCTTAACACATTTTTTTTTGAGATAGGGTCTCACACTGTTATCCAGGCTGGAGTGCAATAGTGGGACCACAGCTCACTATAGCCTTGAACTCCTGGGCTCAAGCAATCCTCCTGCCTTAGCCTCTCGAGTGGCTGGAACTATAGGTGTGCACCACTATGCCAGGCTAATTTTTAAAAATTTTTTCTTAGAGATGGGGTCTTGCTATTGTTGCCCAGGCTGGTCTCAAACTTCTGGACTCAAGGGATCCACCTGCCTTGGCCTCCCAAAGTGTTGGGATTACAGATGTGAGCCATCAAACATGACCAACACTGTTTTTTTAGCAATGAATATTTTGTAATGCTTTATTATTCTGAAATGAAATTCATAGAAAATCTAACCCACCTACAAACCAATTGCAAAAAGAAAAAGAAATCAATATAATGCCCTGACGGTAACATAGAGAAAAATTGCAAAAGGATAGTCAATTATAATAAAATAATGTAGATTTTACAAGGTGAATGTTCGGGTCTGGCCATATCAGGTGACATGATGAAGTGGCCTGATGCTTGTACCTAGCCAGACAGTCACATAAACATGACAGCCACAGGTGCACGTGGACACAGCTGTGTCATGTGGAGGCTCAAAGACCATGAAGGTACTGCTGCTGGTGATGGGATTTTCCCAAATCCTGGACAACTCCGGAGGGAGTTCTCCCCTGATCACACAGTGGTTGCATTCCCAGAATATCTAATGTATATGACAATGATGCAAAAAACAGACACACCCAGAGTTTGGTTCTGGACCCATGTTTTACAAGAGGGTTTTTCATTTACCAGGGCCTGGTGGGACAGTGAAAAGCAGAGGGATTGGGGGAGTTCTTCATCTGGGGGACTGTCCCACTTGTTGTACCCCTGAAAACTTCCAGAAGGCCCCCGGGGGTAGCACAGCCTCTGTAGAGGACGACTGATCTCTGCTGTTGGTCACTTTTTAAGGTCAGCAAAATGAGGCCTAACGAATGCCACACAGCCGAGTCATAACAGAGCTGAGTGTCCTGGAGGGATGTGGCGGACGGGCCTGGGACGCCCTCAGCACAGGGCTCTTCCCTTCCAGCTCCAGTCCTTCGTTCCTGCTGAGGGAGGGCAGAGGCTAGGAGACATGGAAGCTTCCAGCCTATGTGGCCTTCTGAGCTGCCATGCCACTGAACTAGCATCCTGGAAAGAGAAAATCCCATGCAACCTGGATGTTGCTTTACTACAGTGAAGAGTTTAGAGCAATACTTTGGAATCAGACAGGCCTGGGCCCAAGTCCTGGCTCTCCCATAGACTGGCTGTGGGCTCATGGGCAAGTTCCTTAATTTCTCTTTGAGCCTCAGTTTTCTTCACTGTAAAATGGGGTTAATAGCATTCCCCAATTCCAGGGGAGTTGAGAGTACTTAGTGCAAAAGATGCATGTAAAATGCCTCCTTTACTTTTTTTTTTTTTTTTTTTTGAGACTGAGTTTCACCCTTGTCGCCCAGGCAGGAGTGCAATGGTGTAATCTTGGCTCACTGTAACCTCCACCTCCCAGGTCCAAGCAATTCTCCTGCCTCAGCCTCCTGAGTAGCTGGGACTACAGGCGTGCACCACCACACCCGGCTAATTTTGTATTTTTAGTAGACATGGGGTTTCTCCATGTTGGCCAGGCTGGTCTCAAACTCCTGACCTCAGGTGATCCTCCGCCTCAGCCTCCCAAAGTGCTGGGATTACAGGTGTGAGCCGTTATGCCTGGCCTCGCCTCCTTTACTTTTTACCTGGTAGCATGGGAAGCTGCCTGCAGTGAACTTGAGAAAGTGACACAAGAGCCTCAGCCTGGGAGGCTGGAGCAAGGAAAATCCCTTTTCGAGGAATCCTCCACCGCCTGGTTTGTTTTATAATTTCAGGGGCACTATGCACACTGACACATTGTGCACACCTCCATCTAGTTCTAGAAAATTTCCATCACCCCACAAAGATACCCCATATCTGTTGTCAGTCACTCCTCATTCCCTCATCCCTCTGGCCCCTGACAGCCACCCATCCACTTTCTGTCCCTGTAGACTGGCCACACTGGGCCTCTCATGTAAATGGAATGAATCGTGTAATACGTGGTCCCTTGTGTCCGACTTCTGTCACTCAGCATCATGTTCAAGGTTCATCGCGTTGTAGGGTGTGTCAGAGCCTCGTTCCTCTCTATGGCTGATGGTATGAGTTGTATGGATGGACCGCGTTTCGTTTATCCACTCCTCAGCGATGGACATTTGCTTTTTCCTACTTTTCGGTGACTGTGAGTCATGCTCCACTTTGAACATCCTGGCCCCTGGCATGTCATCAGGGTGGAATGAGAGTGAGCTGGGTCTCTTCTGAATCTAGGCCTTTGTTTTGGGTGAAAGGACACAGCCTTTGGAAGAAGACAGACCTGGGTTTGGATTCTGATTCCATACAAGTCACCAGGTGCCTCAACCTCTCTGAATCCCAGTTTCTTCATCAGACAAAGGGATAGTTATGAGGCATCGACATGACATTTGTGTGTGATCAGCACATCGTAGGGATCCAACAAATGGTCTCATTTGTGTCCAGCCAGCTCCTTCAATGCCTTAATTATTGCACTGCAGCCTGGGTAGGGCATCCCTTCTCCCAGCTCTAAGGTATGGATTCCCATGGGTTCTAGTCAGGGGTACACTGTGGCCAGTTCGTAGGGCTCACGAGAGCCGATGGTGAGCGTCTCTTCCCTACTCCACACTCAGGGACTTTGCATTGGTACCTTGAAATCAACCAAAGTGGGAGTGTTTATACCCTGGAAATCAGCAAACCTTCAAAGTGGGGCTTACCCCAACCCCTGACCTCTGGAGAGCCAGTTGTTAAACATTTACCAACAACCACAGGTTCTAGTATTTTCTGTTAAGCTGGCCTGGTGGCAACAGGCCAGAGAGTTCAGGAGAGAGTAAGGCAGGACAGCTCAGGGGTTAAGCCCGAGGATGCTGGAGCAGACATGTGATCTTGGTCCTGGCCGGCAGGCCTGCCAGTGCTGCAGAATCTGTGAGCTCCACGTCCTCACTGTCTCCATCTCCTTTGGCACTCAGCTGCAACAGCAGGACCTGGAGGCAGGTCTGCTGCATGGGACATGGGGTGTGGGGACTTCTGGGGAAAGCATTCCTTTCCAGTAAAAGTGATGCAAAGGAGGAGATGCCTCCTCTTCTTGGATGTTTTCATGTCCATACAGTGACTCCTGGAGCTGCAGCAGCCATCATGTGACCTTTCCAGAAGGGTGTGGACTGGAGACAGTGGGAGAAGCAGGGCCCCAGGTCCTTCCTCAATGCCACCATCCTCCACCCTGGACTCAGGCTTATGCTTTCTTTTTCCTCTTTCCTGTTGAATTTGACCACTGGCATTTCACTAAAACAAAGGCAAATCTCCAACCCACATGTCACAGCCAGGAAGGAGGCCTGACACCCCCAGGCCCTCAGGACTCAGCACTGGATGCACAACTTTCAGGGAGCGCAGGAAGCTCGGGGAGCAGAAGCCACTCTCAGGGGCTCCTGAGCCAGGGGACAGAGCAACAAGGACAGCACTTCCCACCCCAGCATGCCGCTCCAGCCTCTACACTGTGACCACAGGGCTTTCAGGTGGGGCAAAGGGCTCTGCCCGGCAGGCAGCGTGACGCCCATGCTGCCAGACTGAGGCCCTGAGTCCGGTCCTGATGCCAACAGTTGAGGATCCTGGGGCCAGCCCCTGTCTTTGCCATCCTCTGGCCCTGCACTCTCATACCTGTAAGCTCAGCACTTTGGGAGTCCAAGGTGGGCAGATCATGAGGTCAAGAGATCGAGACTAGCCTGGCTAACATGGCAAGACCCCGTCTCTACTAAAAATACAAAAATTAGCTGGGTGTGGTGGTGGGCACCTGTAGTCCCAGCTACTCGGGAGGCTGAGGCAGGAGAATCGCTTGAACCTGGGAGGCAGAGGTTGCAGTAAGCCGAGATCGTGCCACTACACTCCAGCCTGGTGACAGAGTGAGACTCTGTCTATAAATCAGTCAATCAATTAATCAATCACTGGTCCACGTGCCTTCACCCACACCCTCTCCCAGTCTGAGGTCCAAGAGTCTGGGGTTCAGGCTCCTTCCTGCATGGACAGATCCATCCCTGATGGCACCCTCTAGAGACAAAGGCAAGAAGGCCATGGGCAGAGATGTGGCATGTCGTGGCTGCACTCAGAAGAGGAAGAAAAGACCACCAGATATTTTAGCTGCTGTATTTTAAACATCAGGACACGGAGGCTGAAAATAGATAATGATTGTGGAAAGCCAAACAGCTGACATGTTTATCCATCTCATTCATCACTCCTTCTTCCCTCAGCAATTGGTCTTGGGCAGCCCCTGCTTCTGATAACCCCTGACATTCACTCTGCCCTGGGTCTCTGAGGTCTTCTAGAACCCAGGACTCCACCAACCTCCCAGAGCCTAGGTGAAAATCTGTGCAGGGGAGGGGGGCCTATGGGGAACCCAGGGTGTCAGGAGGTGAGGGGAGACAAGAATGGGGTGAAGCAGCCTCATGAAGCAAGGAGAGCCTCAGACGCACCCCCCAGCACAGACATCTGTGAGATGTCTGCCTTGGGGGCCTTGATGGGATCCAGCGGTTCTGAGTCCAGCCTCAGGAGCCCCTGCGGTGGAGCTCTGAGTGGGGCAGGGGCCTGGGAGATGCCAGAAGGATGAGAGCAGGGCCCCCCTGGTCCAGGGGACAGTAAGAGGTAGCCAGTCCCAGAGAAGCGCCCCCACAAACTGTTACCCGTGGTGTGCAAAGCGTCCTGCAACCCCAGCCCTCACCAGGACTTCTTGCATTTTTCAGGAAAGCAGTTGTGATTGGCATGGTTCTTAAGCGTCTGCAGGAAGCTGTGGCCTTTTTGGTATTTCAGGAGGGGTTGCTAACCCCCCTCATTGTAGGATTGGGGTATCCCAGCTGCTAATTCCCCTCCTAACAGCCCTGCAGTGCCTGGATTGGAGGTGTGACAGGTGGCATTTTCGGCCCGAAGTCCCTAGGAAGGAGAGGTGGCTGTAGCCTGCGCATTTGTGTAAATTAACCACCCCTTTTAGTTCTGTGAAAGGAGAACTCGATTAGTTTAAAATCACCTGCGTGAAAGAGGGTCTTGATTAGTTTAAAATCACCTGTGTGAAAGGGTCACTTGATTAGTTTAAAATCACCTGTGTGAAAGAGGCTCTTGATTAATTTAAAATCACCTGTGTGAAAGGGTCACTCGGGTAGTTTAAAATCACCCACGTGAAAGGGGCCCTTGATTAGCTTAAAATCACCTGGGTGTTTCATTTTATCTCAGTTGACCTCTGAATCTTTATCCTACAGCTTCTTGCAAGCTCCAGTCTACCTTCTAAAGGAATAATGGGGCTCACCTTTCTATGTTACTTTATGTGGGAGTAGTTGTAAAACAGAATAAGGGAGACTGCGGGGATTGTGCAGAAATGTAGCACCCGTTTACGTGTTGGGAGGCTGAGGTGGGAGGATCGCTTGAGCCCAGGAGTTTGACACCAGCATGGGCAACTTGGTAAGATCCCTTCTCTACCCCCCAAAAAAAAAAATTTAGCTGGGCATGGTGGTGGGTGCCTGTGGTCCCAGCTACTCAGGACGCTGAGGTGGGAGGATTGCTTGAGCCCAGGAGTTTGACACTAGCATGGGCAACATGGTAAGACCCCATATCTACAAAAAAAGAAAAGAAAAAGATAAAAAAAGAAAAATTAGTCCAGCGTGGTGGTGGGTGCCTGTGGTCCCAGCTACTTGGGAGGCTGAGGTGGGAGGATTGCTGGAGCCCAGGAGTTTGACACCAGCATGGGCAACATGGTGTAAGAACCTGTATCTACAAAAAAAAAAAAAAAAAAAGAAGAAAGAAAAGTTAGCCGGGCGTGGTGGTGGGGGCCTGTGGTCCCAGCTACTTTGGAGGCTGAGGTGGAAGGATCACCTGAGCCCAGGAGGTGGAGGCTGCAGTAAGCTTAGATTGCAGCACTGCGGTCCAGCCTGGGTGACAGAGTGAGACCCCATCTCAAACCAGAAGCACCAAAAGGTGTCTGAGGTCAGGCACGGTGGCTCACGCCTGTAATTCCAGCACTTTGGGAGGCTGAGGTGGGTGGATCACCTGAGGTCAGGAGTTCGAAACCAGCCTGGCCAACATGGAGAAACACCGACTCTACTAAATATGCAAAAATTAGCTGGGTGTGGTGGCACACACCTGTAGTCCTAGCTACTGCAGAGGCTGAGGTAGGAGAATCGCTTGAACCTGGGAGGTGGAGGTTGCAGTGAGCTGAGATTGCACCACTGCACTCCAGCATGGGTGACAGAGTGAGACCTTGACGGGGGCGGGGTGGGGGTGGGATGGACCTTCTGGGGATGGACCTAAGATGGTGGTAGGAGCCTCTACAAGTGGAATTGTGATGTGCACAGCCTGGGTAAATGGGGTTGGCTATATTTAGACTTTAGTGGGGACATAGCCTATTATTTTTTAACACCATTGAACTCAGAATCGGGACCCAGATTTGCCAGGACAGCGCGGGACAGAGACCTCTCCTGGGCTCTGTGTCCCCTGTTAATAGACTGAGAGACAGAATGAGAGCTTCGAAGATGCTGTGGGAGGAGTGCTGGACGTCTCCAGGTGGTGAGCTCAGGAACGTGTGTGTGTGAGTGTAGCCATCAATCCTGGGCTCTGTCTGCCCTGTTAACAGACTGAGAGATGGAATGAGAGCATCCCCAGGTGGTGAGCTCAGGAAGGTGTGTGTGTGTGTGTGTGTGTGTGTGTGTGTGTAGCCATCAATCCTGGGCTCCGTCTGCCCTGTTAATAGACTGAGAGATGGAATGAGAGCGTCCCCAGGTGGTGAACTCAGAGACGTGTGTGTGTGTGTCTGTGTGTGCATGTGTGTAGCCGTCAGTCTCCCGGGCTCCGTCTTCCCTGTTAATAGACTGAGAGACACAATGAAGGCATCCCCAGGTGGTGAGCTCAGGGACGTGTGTGTGTGTGTGTGTGTGTGTGTGTGTGTGTGGCCACCAATCTCCTGGGCTCTGTCTGCCCTGTTAATAGAGATGGAATGAGTGCATCCCCAGGTGGTGAGCTCAGGGACACGTGTGTGTGTGTGTGTAGCCGTCAATCTCCTGGGCTCTGTCTGCCGTTAATATACTGAGAGACGGAATGAGAGCATCCCCAGGTGGTGAACTCAGGGACGTGTGTGTGCTTGTGTGTGTGTGTGTGTAGCTGTCTCCTGGGCTCCTGGGCTCCATCTCCCCTGTTAATAGACTGAGAGACAGAATGAGGGCGTCCCCAGGTGGTGAACTCAGGGACGTGTGTGTGTGTGTGTGTGTGTGTGTGTGTGTGTGTGTGTGGCCACCAATCTCCTGGGCTCTGTCTGCCCTGTTAATAGAGATGGAATGAGTGCATCCCCAGGTGGTGAGCTCAGGGACACGTGTGTGTGTGTGTGTAGCCGTCAATCTCCTGGGCTCTGTCTGCCGTTAATATACTGAGAGACGGAATGAGAGCATCCCCAGGTGGTGAACTCAGGGACGTGTGTGTGCTTGTGTGTGTGTGTGTGTAGCTGTCTCCTGGGCTCCTGGGCTCCATCTCCCCTGTTAATAGACTGAGAGACAGAATGAGGGCGTCCCCAGGTAGTGAGCTTAGGGACATGTGTGTAGCCATCATTATCCTTTAGTACCTGGTCCCCGTGCCCTCCGAGCCATCCAAGGGCTTCAGGAGGCCGAGCAGAAGGAGGGTTGGTAAGTGAGTCCACGGACCACCACGCAGGCCCTGGGGTCCTTTGGAGGGTGAGCCCTGCGGGTGGGGGGATGATGGCCCCGGAGGGTGTGCTCTGGGATGAGAGGGGACGTGCAGGTCGGGGGATGAAGGCTGCATTGCGGACAGAGCAGGCTCGGGACCTGGGCGCCACCTGGTGTCGACTCAGCTCACTCCTGAGCTATGCCTCTTCCTTGTCTTATAGTGGGGATAAAAAGCCATAGATGGCCGAGCGCAGTGGCTCAGGCCTGTAATCCCAGCACTGTGGGATGCCAACCCAGGAGGATTGCCTCAGCCCAGGGGTTCGAGACCAGCCTGGCCAACATCGCGAGACCCTCTTCTCTGTAAGAATTTTTTCTTTTTTTTTTTGAGACAGAGCCTTGCTCTGTTGCCCAGGCTGGACTGCAGTGGCACGATCTTGGCTCACTGCAACCTCCGCCTGCCAGGTTCAAGCGATTCTCCTGCCTCAGCCTCCTGAGTAGCTGGGATTACAGGTGTGCACCACTGTGCCTGGCTAATTTTGTATTTTTAGTAGAGACAGGGTTTCTCCGTGTTGGTCAGGCTGGTCTCAAACTCTCGACCTCAGGTGATCCACCCGCTTCGTCCTCCCAAAGTGCTGGGCTTACAGGCGTGAGCCCCTGCGCCCAGCCCTGCCTTCCTTTCTTCCAGTTTCCTGACGTGGCCACGTGTACCCCAGCAGTGCCCTCCCAGTGGTTTTGGGAGGTGAGGGAGGGGAGCGGTGGGGATTAACGTTCTTGCTAATGAGGTGGTGAGTGTCTTACTGTCTTCTCTGTTATTGATACTATGTCCTGACAGAGGAAAAGAGGGAAAAAGAACTGATTATGGTAGGATAATGTCACTTCTCTTGTTCCCAGACCAAACCGAATCTCAGCCTGCTTATTCTCACGGCCCAATAATGAGATGTGGATGAACTGGGAGAGAAGATAGGTTTTATTTCTGTAACCAGGTGCAGGGAGAAGGTCTGGAAATTATCACCAGACCGACTCAAAATTACAAAGTTTTCCAGAGCTTATATACCTTTTATATGCCTATGTGTAAGTGTGCATTCATCTAAAGACATAAGCGGGGCCGGGCGTGGTGGCACACACCCATAATCCCAGCACTTTGGGAGGCCGAGGCAGGTGGATCACCTGAGGTCAGGAGTTCCAGACCATCCTGGCTAACACGGTGAAACCCTGTCACTACTAAAAATACAAAAAATTAGCCAGGTGTGGTCGTGGGCACCTGTAGTCCCAGCTACTCAGGAGGCTGAGGCAGGAGAATTGCTTGAACCCAGGAGATGGAGGTTGCAGTGAGCTGAGATGGTGCCACTGTACTCCAGCCTGGGCAACAGAGTGAGATTCGGCCTCAGAAAAAAGAAAAAAGGCATTAACTTCTTCTAATCTATAACAAAGGTCTGAGTCCTGAAGACCTTTCTCTGGAGCCTCAGTAAATTGACTTAATGTAGGTGGGTCCAGGTGCTGTGGTGATTACCCGAGATAAGGGGAGTTTTTCAGATCCCCAGTAAAACTACGTAAACCCAAACAGGTCCTGTTAGGAATTCCTTCGTTGTCATATTTTCAAGGCCCAGGAAAGGCCTGGGCAAAACTCTTGGTGGGTCTTTGTTACATTCCAGCCTTCGTATAAGGACACTGGCTCTTTCAGGTTTGTTTTTTAATTTTTTTTGAGACAGAGTCTCACTCTGTCACCCAGGCTGGAGTGCAGTGGCGCAATCTCGGCTCAGTGCAACCTCCGCCTCCCGGGTTCACGCCATTCTCCTGCCTCAGCCTCGCGAGTAGCTGGGACTACAGGTGCCCACCACCACGCCTGGCTAATTTTTTGTATTTTTAGTAGTAGAGACAGGGTTTCACCATGTTAGCCAGGATGGTCTCGATCTCCTGACCTCGTGATCCCCCGCCTCGCCTCCCAGAGTGCTGGGATGACAGGCATGAGCCACCGTGCCCGGCCTCTTTCAGGTTTTTATATGTAACTTCGCCACTCAGTTGGTACTGAAGCTGTTATGGAGGCCTGCCTGGGTGAGATGTGGCCGCCACACTGTGGCTGGTATTCGAAATACACAGGAGGCCGCAGCCAGCTTAGCAGAAACACCCTGTGGCTTTCAGAACTTGGTTTTGAGAGTTTCCTGTTTTCTTGACTTTCAAATACCAGTGACTTTTAAGATGCATCAGTGATGTAATAACTGTTGGGGAAAAAAAGAAAAACTATTAAAGATTCCTGTGGATGGTGAGATGACCTTGGTTTCAGAAACACCGAAACATAGAGAATTGTGCATTTTAGAATCCAATAAATCTACGCTGGGCACGGTGGCTCATGCCTGTCATCCCAGCACTTTGGGAGGCCAAGGCAGGCGGATCACCTGAGGTCAGGAATTCGAGACCAGCCTGGCCAACATAGTGAGAACCTATATCTACTAAAAATACAAAAAATTAGCCAGGCGTGGTGGCCCATGGCTGTAATCCCAGCTGTTCTGGAGGCTGAGGTGGGAGAATTGCTTGAACCCAGGAGGCAGAGGTTGCAGTGAGCTGAGACGATGCCGTTGTATTCCAGCCTGGGTGACAGAGCGAGACTCCGTCTCAAAAAAAAAAAAAAAAAATCTGATTATTTACCTGTGTACCTTCACAAGTGTTTAAAAAAAAAAAAAAAAGGCCGGGCATAGTGGCTCAAGTCTGTAATCCCAGCACTTTGGGAGGCCGAGGCAGGCGGACCACAAGGTCAGGAGATCGAGACCATCCTGGCTAATACGGTGAAACCCCGTCTCTACTAAAAATACAAAAAAATTAGCCTGGCGTAGTGGCGGGCATCTGTAGTCCCAGCTACTCGGGAGGCTGAGGCAGGAGAGTGTTGTGAACCCAGGAGGTGGAGCTTGCAGTGAGCTGAGATTGCGCCACTGCACTCCAGCCTGGGAGACAGTGAGACTCCATCTCAAAAAAAAAAAAAAAAAAAAAGATTACGTTGATATTTTGCCTACTATAATCTTAGAAATTTGCAATTTCCTGTCATTGAGTTTTGTAACTTTCTACCCTCTGCTGACAAAAAAAATTTAAAATGTCTCATGGCAGCCTGTGTTCTTAAAATTCGAACTGTTTATCCATAGCCCTTGAGAGAACGGTTTAATGTGAGTTGGTTGGGAGTGACCGTTGTTTGTTTTTTTGAGACAGAGTCTCACTCGCTCACCCAGGCTGGAGTGTAGTGGCGTGATCTCAGCTCACTGCAAACTCTGCATCCCAGGTTCAAGTCATCCTTCCACCCCAGCCTTCCAGCTAGCTCGGATTACAAACATGCACCACCACACCTGGCTAACTTTTGTATTTTTGGTAGAGACAGGGTTTTACCACGTTGGCCAGGCTGGTCTCAAAATCCTGAGTTCAAGGCCTGCATCAGCCTCCCAAAGTGCTGGGATGACAGGCGTGAGGCATGACGTCAGGCCAAGGGGGTGGCTGTTTTATAACAGGTTTGAAAATTTGTTTTTCTTTTTTTCTTTTTTTTTTTTTTTTTGAGACAGACTTTTGCTCTTGTTGCCCAGGCCGGAGTGCGATGGCAAGATCTCGGCTCACTGCAGCCTCTGCCTTCTGGGTTCAAGTGATTCTCCTGCCTCAGCCTCCCAAGTAGCTGGGATTACAGACACCTGCCACCACGCCTGGCTAATTTTGTATTCTTAGTAGAGATGGGGGTTTCTCCATGCTGGCCAGGCTGGTCTCAAACTCCCGAACTCAGGTGATCCACCCGCCTTGGCCTCCCAAAGTGCTGTGATGACAGGCGTGAGCCCCTGTGCCCAGCCAGGGGGTGGCTGTTTTATAATAGGTTTGCAAGTTTGTTTTTCTTTTTGTTTTGTTTTGTTTTTTTGAGACAGAGTTTTGCTCTTATTGCCCAGGCCAGAGTGCAATGGCACAACCTTGGCTCACTGCAACCTCTGCCTCCTGGGTTCAAGCGATTCTCCTGCCTCAGCCTCCCGAGTAGCTGGGATTACAGGCACCAACCACCACGCCCAGCTAATATTTCATATTTTTAGTAGAGACGAGGTTTCCCCATGTTGGCCAGGCTGGTCTCGAACTCCTGACCTAGGTGATACGCCTGCCTCGGTCTCCCAAAGTGCTGAGATGACAGGTGTGAGCCACTGCACCCGGCCCTGAGATAAGCATTGTTAAGATTTGGTTGTCCGGGTGCAGTGGCTCAAGCCTGTAATCCCAGCACTTTGGGAGGCCGAGGCGGGCGGATCACGAGGTCAGGAGATGGAGACCATCCTGGCTAACGCAGTGAAACTCTGTCTCTACTAAAAATACAAAAATTTAGCCGGGCGTGGTGGCAGGCACCTGTAGTCCCAGCTACTCAGGAAGCTGAGGCAGGAGAATGGCGTGAACCTGGGATGTGGAGGTTGCAGTGAGCCAAGATTGTGCCACTGCACTCCAGCCTGGGTGACAGGGCAAGACTCCATCTCAAAAAAAAAAAAAAAAAAGATTTGGTTATGTTCCTGCAGTCCTATATGGGGCTAGAAGAATATCACCAAATATCACCAAAATGTATAAGTATACACACATGCACACACACATTTGTGAGTGTGTGTAGGCACGCATGCATGGATAATAGATATACCTGTGTATGTCTGTATATAGACATTTGTGTTTCTCAAAATTGTATCAAAACTGGATTCATGGCCAGGCACAATGGCTCACGCCTGTCATCCCAGCACTTTGAGAGGCCCAGGCAGGGGGATCACCTGAGGTCAGGAGTTCGAGACCAACCTGGCCAATGTGGTAAAACCCCGTCTCTACTAAAATACAGAAATTAGCCAGGCATGGTGGTGCATGCCTGTAATCCCAGCTACTCGGGAGGCTGAGGCAGGAGAAACGCTTGAATCTGGGCGGCGGAGATTGCGGTGAGCCAAGATTGCACCACTGCACTCCAGCCTGGGCAACAAGCGAAATTCTGTCTTAGGAAAAAAAATTCATATTATGTATATTGTTTTCTAAACTTTTTTTTTTTTTTTTTAGACGGAGTCTTGCTCTGTCACCCAGGCTGGAATGCAGTGGCGCAATCTCAGCTCACTGCAACCTCTGCCTCCCGAGTTGAAGCGATTCTCCTGCCTCAGCCTCCTGAGTAGCTGGGATTACGGGCATGTACCACCATGCCCTGCTAATTTTTTTGTATCTTTAGTAGAGATGGGGTTTCTCCATGTTGGTCATGCTGGTCTCAAACTTCTGACTGCAGGTGATTCACCCACCTTGGCCTCCCAAAGTGCTGGGATTACAGGTGTGAGCCACCGTGCCTGGCCTGTAAACGTTTAATTTTTCGAGGCACGTTTCTGCTGTGTTGCCCAGGCTAGATAGTGCAGTGGTGTGATCACAGCTCACTTTAGCCTCTACCACCTGGGCTCAAGCAATCCTCCCACCTCTGCCTCCTAAATAGCTGGGACTACAGGCGTCCACCACCACACCTGTGCGTGTGTGTGCATGTGTGTGTGTGTGTGTGTGCCTTTTTTTCATGGAGACAGAGTCTCTGAGCCTATGCTCTGCAGGCTGGTCTCAAACTCCTGGACTCAAGCAGCCCTCCCCACTTGGCCTCCCAAAGTGCTGGATTCCAGTGGCGAAAACCCATCTCTACTAAAAAAAACACCCCAATCGGGCTTGCAAAGTGCTGGATTCCAGGCATAAGACTGCACCCGGCCTGTTTTGTGAGATTTTTAACTTAAAATCTACCCTGTGCCAAGCACTTTGGGAGGCCAAATGGGGAGGGCTGCTTGAGCCCAGGAGTTCAAGACCAGCCTGGGCAACATAGTGAGACCCTATCTCTTAAAAAAAAAATTAGCTGGGCGTGGGACCTGTGGTCCTGGCTACACAGGAAGCTGAGGTGAGAAGATCACTCGAGCCCAGAAGGTGGAGGCTGCAGTGAGCTGAGATTGCACCACCACGCTCCAGCCTGGGAGGCAGAGTGAGACCCGGTCTCAGAAAAAAACAAAAAGCAAACCAAACCGTATGCTGAATGTGCACTGTGTTGGCTGCACAGAATGGGGTGAGATGTGTGTCTCTCGTATTGTATTTGATCCATATGTCCGTGGGGCTCCTACGTGTGGGTAAGGCTGTGAGTGTCACCTGGTGGGGACTAATTCCTGGTCATCCCTGGTGCTTTTTGTAAAGAAAGTGAGTTGCAGCCTGGCTGTGGTCCTGCTGGTTGTAGCAGACAGATCCATACAGTGCAGACGCGATGGTAATTTTGGTTTCATCATTCACGAGAAGCTTTATTTATTTATTTATTTTTTGAGATGGATCCTCGCCGTGTCACCCAGGCTGGAGTGCAGTGGTATGATCTCGGCTAACTACAACCTCCACCTGTCGGGTTCAAGCCATTCTCCTGCCTCAGTCTCTGGAGTAGCTGGGATTACAGGTGCCTGCCATCATGCCTGGCTAATTTTTGTATTTTTAGTAGAGACAGAGTTTCACCATGTTGGCCAGGCTGGTCTCGAACTCCCGAGCTCAGGTGATCCACCTGCCTCGGCGTCACCAAGTGCTGGGATTACAGGCGTGAGCCACCACACCCAGCCCGTGAGAAACTTTAAGTCAGTGCAGTGGCACGCGGATGGTGCAGGGCCGCAGGCTTCACCTTCCTTTTGGGTCTGAAGTGACTGCCTCGCTGTTTGGGGTCAGAAATAGCTGTGTGTAGGGGCAGGTGTGAGCTGTGTCTTGTGTGTCCCACAGAAGTGACCCTCATCATGATGGTGTGGTACTGGCATTCTTGTCCGTAGACTGACAAGGATTCTTTTTTTCTTTTTTCTTTTTTGGAGACAGAGTCTTGCTCTGCCACCCAGGCTGGAGTGCAGTGTCGCGATCTCGACTCACTGCAAGCTCCACCTCCTGGGTTCAAGTGATTCTCCTGCATCAGCCTCCCGAGTAGCTGGGACTACAGGTATGTGCCACTACACCCGGCTACTACTTTTTGTACTTTTAGTAGAGATGGGGTTTCAGCATGTTGGCCAGGCTGGTCTCGAACTCCTGACCTCAGGTGATCCACCCGCCTCAGCCTCCCAAAGTGCCGGGATGACAGGCGTGAGCCACCTCGCCTGGCCCTGGATTCTGTTTCTTAAACTGCAGGGAATACTAAATACTTTACATGTGTATGTTTCTCATTTCATTTTCCTAAAGGAATTGGAGAGTGAGTTGTTGAGATTCTTTTCATTTTATTTTTTATTCTCTATGGTCCTCATCATGCAAATGGCTAAATGGTTTTTTTTTTTTTTTTTTTGAAACAGGGTCTTGCTCTGTCACCCAGGCTGGAGTGCAGTGGTGCGGTCTCGGCTCACTGCAACCTCTGCCTCCCGGGTTCAAGCGATTCTCCTGCCTCAGCCTTCCTAGTAGCTGGGATTACAGGTGTGCACCACCGTGTCCGTCTGATGGTTAAATTTTTCCTAGAGATGAGGTTTTGCCATGTTGCCCAGGCTGGTCTCAAACTCCTGAGCTCAGGTGATCCCCCCACCTGGGCCTCCCAAGGCGCTGGGGTTCCAGGTGTGCAGAGGGCTCTTTGTCTACACGCATCACTGGATTTTCTACCCACGGGGACAGGAGTGTGACCACAGCGAGGTGGTCAGGGAGTTGTCACCGGCGGGCACTGCAGCCCAGAGATGATGATGGCTCTAGGAGTTTGGTTGTGGAGCACAGATGCCAGCGGTGTGGGCACGTGGCCCTGCACCTGTGTTTCTCCTGCACAGGCCCCAGAACCCCAGGATGGGATCTCTGTGCAGTGACGAAGTCAGTGGCCTCTTGGTGAGGCTGAGGGATGGGAGTCGGCAGAATCCAGGCTGGGCCCCCGAGGCCTGGCTCCCTCACTGCATCCCTGAGGTCCCACAGCCTGGTGACAGCATGACTGAAGACCACACTCCAGTCAGGTGGCCAGCCCCACATGTGACCCCGGGTCTTGGCTCCCACTCCTGACCCAGGGTCCTGGCCTTCCACGTGTGACCCCGGTTCCGGCTCCTGTCCCCGCCCCCTCTGTCCCCTTTCCCCTCTTTCCCCAACACCCCTTCCTCTCTCCCAGACACCCCTTCCTCTCTCCCCGGCACCCCTTCCTCTCTCCCCGGCACCCCTTCCTCTCTCCCCACCCCCCGTCCCCCCCTCCTCTCTCCCCATCCCCCCCTCCTCTCTCCCCGTCCCCCACTCCTCTCTCCCCGACCGCATCTCTCCCTTGAGTCCTTGAGTGGTCCTGGCTGCACACCTACCTGGCTGGCCCCATCCTCTCCAGGGCAGGGACAGCCGATGCCCCGCACCTCCCCCATTGCTTTTCTACCTCTGCCCCCTCCCCACATAGGCCTGGTATCCCTTGGACTCCTGTAGGCACCAGCCGTAGTCTTAAGAAGTCAGTGTGTCCCACAGCCCTAAAAGGTCAGGGTACCCCCTGGCCGTCATTTCAGGGCAGCCTATAGTCCTAAATGGTTGGGGTACCCCACATCCCTGATGTTCAGGGCACCTCACAGTCCTAAAGGATTGGGGTACCCCACAGTCCTAATGTTCAGGGCACCCTGCAGTCCGAAAGGGTTAGTGTACCCCCAGATGAGGGGCGGTCAGGAGGGTCAGGGCCCAGGTGGACTTCCTGTCATCCCACCCTGTGGGGCATGCCCTGTGTCCCTGACTCTGACATTTGGTGAGGTGAGTACGGAGCAGGCTTCCGTGGCACATTTTTTTATTTATTTAGAGGTAGAGTCTCGCTCTTGTCACCCAGGCTGGAGTGCAGTGGTGTGATCTCGGCTCACTGCAACCTCCACCTCCTGGGTTCAAGCCATTCTCCTGCCTCAGCCTCCCAAGTAGCTGGGATTACGGGCGCCCGCCACTACGCCTGGCTAATTTTTATAGTTTTAGTAGAGACAGGGTTTCACCCTGTTGGCCACGCTGATCTTGTACTCCTGGCCTCAGGTGATCCGCCTGCCCTGGCCTCCTTAAGTGCCGGGATGACAGGTGTGAGCTGCTGTGCCCAGTCCCTGAAATGCTGAAATGCTCAGCCCATACCCTGAAATGCTGATGGCAGGAACCTCTGCACTGTTATGGCTCCCAGAGCTCATCTCATCCTACTCTAGACACCAGCCCTGTCATCAGCCTCCTCCAACTCACTAGTGAGTGCTGAGTTCAGAGGAATTTGTTTTGACCCTCAAGAGGGGTTAAGATACACTGATAGGCTGGTCGGGTCAGGCCTCTCAGATGTCACTGGTGCAGTGGCCCTACCTGCCTAGACAATTGAGAAGAATCATTTTACAATGATTTTATAAGCATTCATGGTGTTGCAGGGACTGGGCTATGACCTTTGTGGTCCAGGATGCTTAGTGTTCTAGCAGAGATAGATGGGCTATGAAACAGTTACAGTGCAGTGGAGTAGTTGTGATATAGCCACTGCCAGGATATTATGGAAGCATGGTGGAAGAGCTTCTAACTTTTCTGTCTTTGGAAAAGGTTCAGGAAAATTCATGCATGAGTGCTTGCATATATATTTATGCACATATGTGCACACACAAGCATGTGCATACACACAAACTCATGCTTGATGGTCTGGGTATGTGCTAGAACAATGACCCTATCTAGCTAAGGTAGTGGGCCAAGATTAATCATTCCATCCGTCTATCTACCCATCCTTCCATCCATCCACCCACCCATCTACCTATCCATCCAGGCGTCCATCATTCTATCCATCTATCTACCCATCCTTCCATCTATCTACCCATCCTTCCATCTATCTAACCATCCATCTAACCATCCATCCAGGCATCCATCCATCCATGCATCCATCCATTTCTTATATGCTTACTATGTTACAGGCTCTTTTAAGGATTCTTTACTTACCTGATTTCATTTATTCCTCTCAATAACTTTGAGATATGAATTATTAGTCTCATCTTATACATAAGAAAATTAAGACCCAAGAAGTTTGGTTGCTTGACCAGGGTTACACTAGTACACTAGTCAAACAGCTGGCCCAGGCTTCTCATCCAGATCTGAATAATTCCAATCATATGTTCTTTTAATCTCTTCTGAATTCCCCATACTGTGTTCAGAGGAATTTGTTTCAACCCTCAAGCGGGGTTCTGTTCTCCCCCATACTGAAAAACAGAAAACTGGATTTTCCAGGTACTAACAGATATTCAATACGCATAGCTTCTCCTTCTCTTTTAGGGAATTTAATGGGCAAATTCATAGTAAAGGCTCAGAGAAGTCCTGTACTATTTTCAGTTTAATCCAGCATTCACTGATTATGATCATCATTATTGGATCATGAAATTTTTGGTGGCAAAATACCCAATTCCATGACAGTTGGAAGAGTTGCTTTACCCCCTCATCTGACCTAAGACCAGAACAAGTACTTCTGTCCCTAAGCAAGGTCTTTTTTTTTCTTCAGGCAGCAAATAATGATTTGACCTTAAGCCAACCAATAATCCAACCCCTTGCATCTCTGTGACATTCTTCTTCCACATGCCCTTCAGCTCCGTTTCTTCCCTGAACTGCAGGATGTCTCTGCAAAGCGCAGAGGGTGCAGGGGCTACTGGACCTCCAAGAAGTGATGGATTTGGTCTCCAAGTTGATCCCTTAAGAGATGGCTGCTGCCCTTTGTGGGTCTCATCACTGCAATCTTCTCATCCTATCTCCTGGCTCTGAGTCTCAAATGTTTACTGGCCCAGGGCAAGGACCCATTCCCATGGTATTCTAGATTCATGCCATCCATCTCCGACTGCACTGCTGGGTGGCAGGACAATGGCTTTGCATCTGTGCTTCATCCCACAGAACCCAGCTTCTGCCTCAGGGAGGAACCAACTGTACTTATTTCTCTAGATTCTTTTCCTCCTTCTTGTGGTTCTTTCTAAAAATAGAGACAGACTGGCATAACCAACCAGCAATGAGCACTCCTGTGCCCGGAGGGATTTTATTTGTTGCCCCAGAAAGAGAAACTGCTTCTCCCCACCTGGAGCCAGGACCCAGGAGCCAATGGTGACACAGTAGTGCCTTCACCTGAGCGAGCCTCTCCACTCTGCATCCTGCCCCACATTCCGGTCCCTGGTCCCACCCTGGTCCCGCCACCCCCCACCCCCCACCCCGCTCAACTAAAGAGCGCCTTTGCAGCAGCTGGCCCCCACCCTCAGCTTCTGGGAAGTGATCTCCATAGAATGCCCTGCCTGATGGGAGTGTCTTTGTTTGCCTTGGGGCTTTGGCCACTGGACAATCTAACGAGATCTATGAAGGGGGTTTTGAGCCACATTGTATCAGGTCTACCTCCAGAAGGGCTGGTGACTGAAGGTCAACCATGCAGGTGGTATGTGATCAAGCCTCAGTAAAAACTCTGGACACAAGGCTTGCATGAGTGTCCCTGGCTGGCAATACTCTGAACTTACTGTCACATGCCGATGCTGAGAAAGAAACACTGTCCTGACTTGATGGAAGGAGGACACCCGGAAGCTCTGCGTTTGCTGCTTTCTGGGACCCCACCCTATGCATTTCTTCCCTTGGTTGAAGAAGGGACCTGCATCCCTTCCCTGTAATAAACCATAACCTTAAGTACAACAGACTTCAGTGAGTTCTATGAGTCCTTCTAACAAATTATCGGGACCCTTGAATTTGCAATTGCTGTCAGAAGTGTAGATCAAGTTCCCACACTTCACAGTTGGTTAGCTCTTTACAGTTGGCCTAAAATTTCAGTGTTAATATTGATTAATAGATAAATAGATGGCACCTCTCCTGGTGTGGTCATTGTTAATCTGGTACATTGACCTAATGAAGACTCCTAGTTCATGAAAAGATTAAACCTAGTAGTCAGCTTCTAGGATTGTATAAGCGTGAGTACAAATTGCCATGGTTCCAGGGTCACAACTTTTGGAAGTATTGATAGCTCTTTTTAAAAAATGTTTATTTTTATTTCAAGTTCCAGGGTACGTGTGGAGGACATGCAGGTTTGTTACATAGGTAAACGTGTGCCATGGTATTTTGCTGCACCTATCAACCCATCACCTAGGTATTAAGCCCAGCATCCATTAGATATTTTGCCTAATGCTCTCCCTACCCCCTTCCATCTCCTGACAGGCCCCAGTGTGTGTTGCTCCCCTCCCTGTGTCCATGTGTTCTCATTTGTTCAGCTCCCACTTATAAGTGAGAACACACGGTGTTTGGGTTTTCCATCCCTGGATTAGTTTGCTGAGGACAATGAATTCCAGCTCCATCCATGTCCCTGCAAAGAACATGATCCCATTCCTTTCTATGGCTGCATAGTATTCCATGGTATATATGTATCACATTTTCTTTATCCAGTCTATCATTGATGGACATTTGGGTTGATTCCATGTCTTTGCTATTGTGAATAGTGCTACAATGAACATACATGTGAATGTATCTTTGTAATAGAATGATTTATATTCTTTTGGGTATATACTCAGTAATGTGATTGCTGGGTCAAATGGTATTTCTGGTTCTAGATCTTTAAGGAATTTCCACACTATCTTCCACAATAGTTTAACTAATTGACATTCCCACCAACAGTGTAAAGCATTCCTGTTTCTCTGCAACCTCACCAGCATCTGTTGTTTTTTGACTTTTTAATAGTAGCTATTCTGACTGGTGTAAGATAGTGTCTCATTGTGGTTTTTGATTTGCATTTCTCTAATGATCAGTGATGTTGAGCTTTTATTCATATGTTTGTTGGCTGCACGAATGTCTTCTTTTGAGAAGTGTCCATTCCTGTCCTTTCCCTACTTTTTAGTATTTTTTTTTCTTATAAACTTGTTTAAGCTCCTTGCAGATTCTGGATATTAAACCTTTATCAGATGGATAAATTGCAAAAATTTTCTCCCACTCTGTAGGTTGCCTGCTCACTCTGCAATAGTTTCTTATCATGTGCAGAAGCTCTTTGGTTTAATTAGATCTTGTTTGTCAATTTTCACTTTTGTTGAAATTGCTTTTAGCAATTTTGTCATGAAATCTTTGCCTGTGCCTATGTCCTGAATGGTATTGCCTAGATTTTCTTCTACGGTTTTATAGTTTTGGCTTTGACATTTAACTATTTGATCCATCTTGAATTACTTTTGGTATAAGGTGTAAGAAAGGGGTCCAGTTTCAATTTTCTGCATACGGCTAGCCAGATCTCCCAGCACCATTTATTAAATAGGGAATCCTTTCCCCATTGCTTGCTTTTGTCAGATTTCTCGAAGATCAGATGGTCGTAGATGTATGGTCTTATTTCTGAGTTCTCTATCCTGTTCCATTGGTCTGTGTGCCTTTTTTTGTACCAGCACCATGGTGTTTTGGTTACTGTAGCCTTGTAGTACAGTTTGAAGTTGGGTAGCGTGATGCCTCCAGCTTTGCTCTTTTTGCTTAGGATTGTCTTGGTTATACAAGCTCTTTTTTTAGTACCATATGAATTTTAAAATAGTTTCTTCTAATTCTGTGAAGAATTTCAATGGTAGCTTAATGAGAATAGCATTGAGTCTACAACTTACTGTGGGCCATTTTCACAATACTGATTCTTCCTATCCATGAGAATGGAATGTTTTTCCATTTGTTTGTGTCCTCTCTTATTTCCTTGAGCAATGGTTTGTGGTTCTCCTTGAAGAGGTCCTTCACTTCCCTTTGTTAGCTGTATTCCTAGGTATTTTATTCTCTTTGTAGCAATCGTGAATGGGAGTTCATTCATGATTTGGCTTTCTGCTTGTCTGTTGTTGGTGTATAGGAATGTTTGTGACTTTTGCACATTGATTGTGTATCCTGAGACTTTGCTGAAGTTGCTTATCAGCTTAAGAAGCTTTGGGGCTGAGATGATGGGGTTTTCTAGATACAGGAGCATGTCATCTGCAAAGACAATTCAATTTCCTCTCTTCCTATTTGAATATCTTTATTTCTTTCTCTTACCTGATTGTCCTAGCCAGAACTTCCAATACTATGTTGAATAGGAGTGGTGAGAGAGGGCATCCTTGCCTTGTGTTGGTTTTCAAGGGGAATGCTTCCAGCTTTTGCCCATTCAGGATGATATTGGCTGTGGGTTTGTCATAAATGGCTGGAAGTATTGATAATTCTTAATGAAGACAGAAGCTAGGAGTTAAACAACCTTCCTCCATGCACCCTCAGTACTTGGTTCATGCTGTTGCCATTACGCTCATCACGCTCCACTCTATGTCATGTGACTCAGTGCATATGACTGTGAGCTCCCTGAGAGAAGTGATCTTACTCACCTTTCACTCTGACAATCAGAGAAGAAAATAACTCACAAAGTGTCTGATGAATTGCTGATCTTTTGCAGACATAAGCAGTTGTGTCCGTGAATACATGGTTATTACAACCCCATAAACAGGTTCTCTTTAAACTGTGAGCCCACATAAAACTTTACAAGTCTCCTATTCCTCTCTAAGAAGATATTCAAAAGGAAAAATCAACACAGAGGCAGCAGAGCATACTGCCAAGAGTACACGTGTGGGATTTGGAAACCATGGTTCTAGGATAGCACCATATTCCTATGTGGCTGCATGATCTTAGGCAAGTCACTTGACCTGAGACTAGGTCATCTCATCCATAAGGCAGTGAGAAATACTGTACCCTCTCGCCATGCTACAGTAGGTAATAATTATAAAGCATGTACTATTAAATAGTTCAGATTCCACAAACATTTTCTAAGCATCTGCTATGTGTTAGATACTCTGGAGGGCACTTCCATGCCACTGTTCCATGCCATGAAGTCCTCATATTCTGGCATTGAGGGGTAATGGGAAGGGGCTGGGAGTGGGAATAGAGATGACACAAAACTGGGAGCTGGCAATTACTGAAGTTGGATGAGAGAAAATGAAGTTTCACTACATTGTTTTCCCTATTATTTCATGTTTTTGAAATGTTCCACATGTATTAATTTTTTAAATTTATTTATTTTAGAGATGGGGTCTCACTCTATTGCCCAGGCTGGAGTACAGTGGCACAATCATAGCTCACTGCAGCCTTGAACTTTTGGACCCAGTTAATCCTTCCACCAGAGCCTCCCAAGTAGCTGGGACTAGAGGCTTGTACCACCATTCCTGGCTAATTTTTTAAAAAAAATTTATAGAGATGAGGTCTCTTTATGTTGCCCACGTTGATCTCGAACTCCTGGTCTCAAGTGATCCTCCTGCTTCAGCCTCCCAGAGCGCTGGGATTACAGGTGTGAGCCACCACACCTGGCCAAAACATGTATTTTAAACAATCCTCTCAACAATTATGTGAGGTGGGTCTCCATGGTCTCACTTTACCCATGGAAAACCAAGGCTCAAAGTGACAGAAGCCTGAGGTTTCCACAGAATGTTAGAGGCAGAGTCGTGTCTAGAGCCCAGGTTCCCTGCCTCCATGCAACTTCACACTTCCCACCTCCCTAGATTGTGATGCATGGCTGGCACCTGCCCTCTCAGAAGCACACTTGACCTCAGAAAGGTGCTCCTCAAGGTAGAGGTTTGTGTTTACAAGAGGTAGACCACTGTAAGCAATGAGGGGAACAGCTCCCCACCTTCCTTTCCAGTGCTGGGACCTCTTTCTACACTCATTATGAAAAATTCAAGAAATATGGGGGTTCCTCAAAGTCACTATCATCATCTGTGGACATCTGCTGAGTCCCCAAAGCACTGGGCAGGCATTGCTGAAGCATGCAAAGGTATACATAACACACAGGGCTTCCCACAGCAACCTCCTCCAACCCATTCACAATAAATATTTTTAAATGTATTAGCAAACTCTGCCGAGACAAAAAGCTCATTGCAACAGTCTTTGTCCTCCAAAGGAATTGCTCTACAGTAGAAAGAAAGAGAGGTTTTCTCATCTCTTCTGCAAGGGAAGGAACTGTGGGGGTGGGGGGGCGGGGGGAGTGGTGTGTGTGTGTGTGTGTGTGTGTGTGTGTGTGTGTGTGCGTCTCAGGGCAGAGGGGGCAGGTTGAGCTGAGCACAGAGAGAACTACGCTTTTCTAAAGCCACCCTAGGGACATGCCCATATGTAGCTCTGGGGCTGGTTGCAGCTTGCATTTGTTTGGAAGTTCAACCCTGGGATGTATACAATTTTCCCCAAATAACCCCTTGGAGGGAAAAATAACACAGTGCAAATGACAATACTCGAAAGCCTAGAGATATACTCAGCCATTTTCTTTATGATGACCATATTTTGCCAAAGTCTGTGTCCTAGAAGTCTCTCCCCATCCATTAATGTAGTCACCCAATGGATTGCTTTTCCTTCCCATGTGTTGACTTTTCCTTCAGCTCTTGCAGCAACACATTGCTTGGCCAAACCAGAATACACCAGGGAGCTTGGAAGATATTGCCCAGTCACCTCTGCAACCTCAGAAACTCCCTCTGGTGCCTGTGGTGTGACACGCCACATCCACATAGCATTGCACATGGTGATCCCTAGGTTCTCGCTGAGGACTGGAAGGGACAGCCTAAAGGTTTCATCCAAGTTTCCACCTTCAGCTCTATCTTGGTCTGCAGGTCAACTGACTCTTCAAGCCTCCATTCCCCACCGCACCAATTCCCCACAGCACTGCCAAGGTTTTTCACAGATAATCAGCAGAGCAAATGCTAAACCCAAAGCCATGCCCCCTACCCTCCAATCCAGGGAAATGTAAAAATATATCAACTTTAAGGCCCTGGAAAAAAAGTCAAAACCAAGCTCTATAATTATGGCCTGTTTACAAGGCGTGCTGAGTTGTTGGTGCATTCTCAGAGAGGCTGTTCATGCCTCATGGAGCCAGGGAACTATGTTAATGGTAACAGAAGTCTTCATGTTCTGCAGTCTGTGCCCTTCTGAACACCCTTGGTTTGAAAAGCAAAGTCCTTAGGTTGGAGAATCAAATTCACAAATGCCTCCTTCAGTTCACTTTCCTTCAGTTGAGTTTGGACCTAGAGTGTGGACCCATGGAGGTCAGCTACCTGGTTTAAGGGAGTCAGCTCGTGTGTGTGTGTGTGTGTGCACGTGCATGTGTGTGTGCACATGTGTGTATGTCTGTATGCACACATATTTTCACAAATAAGAAAGAGAAAGCAGAAGAGATCCAATACAGTGAAAAATCTCTGCCCAGTGACCTGGCACTGAGGAATATCATCCACCCCAGGCAAGAATCTAGAAATGAACAATTTAAGGATAGTGGGAGCACTTAGAAAAAAAACGAATGATTAGGAAGAGCCAACATCAGTATAATAGAACAGGTAATGCCAACGTGACTTTCTTTTTGTTTGGAAGTTCTACATAGTATTATGTCTGGATTTTAGGAGGCCCTTCCCACGAATTAAATTTTTAAATGGGTAATGTATTCCTACGGTTCAACAAAACCCAATATATCCTTGGGGAGGAATCTTCCTCCCATCTATGTCTCCATCTGCCCAGGTCTCACTCCTACCTCTCCACTCCCCATAGGTAACCATGATTATTAATTTCTTGAATAAGCTTATGGATGTCATTGTGAACATGGAAGCAAATACAAATGTGTGTGCATGTTTATTCTTATTTTCTCCCTTTTTTATGCAAAAGGGGCACACTGAACCCCTTGCTCAGCAAGGCTTTTGTGGGGGGCTCATGCTAGTTTTGTGGACAAGAAATGGGGACTAGATGACACCATGCAATAGCAGGCATGTGACTACTTCAGTGCAGAACTAGAAGTGGAATCTAGCCTGCTGACTTTTTGTCCTAGGTCCTTCCCGTTTGTCTCCTGGATCTGTGTTTGCCCACACAAGGGAGTACTTAAGAAGCATTGGCAGGCTTCTGGGAAGCAGTTTGTCCTTGTAAGTGGTTTAAAACCTCACCTTGACAATCTTGCATATAGCACTCATTTGCTTGGTAAACCTTTTTTCTCATAGATCATGGAAAGGTAAACTTTGAGCCCTTTGCTCTTCAAGTGAATAAAATGGCCTAACTGTACTAAAGCTTTATCCCAGTGCTTGGTTCATAGTAGCCACTTCATAAAATAAACATTAGTTGAATCTGAATGATCACTACATTCCAATTTAATGTACTTGGATTAAAGAGATTCATCCTAAAGAGACAGGGAATTGGATCATTTCAGAACCAGTCCCGTGATGGTTTACTTTGGTAGCATAGCCCTTCTCAAGCCAGTGGTCACTTCCTATTCTCCTGCCAGAGAAGCAGAAACAACAGCTTTCTTTGTATTCAGTATTGATTTGGGGGATTGCATGGGTCCTTATGACTACCTGCTGGCAATATTCAGTCCAGCGCATGGACAAAGCTGACCTGGAAGAGCAGGGAGTCAAGGGAGGTCAAGAGACAGGGCAAGGCTTGGGGAAGGAGTGAGAAGTCCTCTTCCAGGGCCAACTTTCCCAATCCTCTTCTGGTTCTCTGAGACCACCCTCCTCCCCTTTTCATCTCTGAGGCATCCTTACCAAACAGCAGTTCCTCTGCTCTGACATCGGCTTGATCTTTAAGGCTTGCCTCAGTCAGATGCAAAAGAGGGTGATCCCATAGAGAAAAAAATATTTAGCTAAGATTCCAAAAGTGAGGGCAAATCCCTGGGAATTTGCTGTTTTTGAAGTAGACTACTACCACTCTCCACTATAGGTAATTTTAAGTTTGCAGTAGCTAATGGGCAAAGGAAAGAAGAGTAAAATAAAATTGTCATGGGATGGTAACTTCCTACATTAACCTGCAAGGTATCCACCTTTTCCAGGCCACCAGAGAATCTAAGTTCAAGTCCCCAAACAGGGAACTGGGCTCTCATCCTAATTCTTCCTTAA
The DNA here is from genome assembly GCF_000001405.40 of Homo sapiens. Taxonomy (NCBI): domain Eukaryota; kingdom Metazoa; phylum Chordata; class Mammalia; order Primates; family Hominidae; genus Homo; species Homo sapiens. The sequence goes on along the minus strand of NC_000015.10, from coordinate 22,204,740 downwards.
GGAGCCAACACAGTCATTACCTCCACATAAACATGTCAACTCTCCCCACGCGCAACCATGAGAAATCTCTCCCAGCCAGCCAGAATGGAAGGAACTAACAGCTTTTGGCAAGCAGCACGGTCTCACATACAGAAGGTGGCTGGCATGAGGCTTGCACTCAGGTCACAGCCTTCTATCAGCTGTCGTGGCCACCTCTTCCTAGAAGAAGCTCTCCCCAGGAAAAGCACAGAATTCTGCTGGGTCACAGAGCCCCTCAGGTGTCAGTTCCAGCCACTCCCAACACACTTCAGGTGGGCCACCTTGACTGCAGTGGTTATGATTGCTGGGTTTGAATCCTGTCTCTGTCACTTGATTCTGGATCATTATTTCAATTCTGTAAGCCTCAGTTTCCACACCTGTAAAACCCTGTCCCCTGGGGAAGTTGTGAAGAGTAGAGGAAATTATCCTTGCAAAATGCTTAGCAGAGTATTGGTAGGTTGTTAGTGCTGAATAAATAGTACTTATTTTATCATCATCATTACGGCTCTTTGGAATCCACAGCCTGTAAGGTGGGGGGCAGTACTGCAGCTTGAAAGCTAAGGGATGGGCGGTTGAGTTGCCCAAGGTCACTCTGCAGCCTTACTGCAATGAAAGTTCCATAGAATAGGGGTGTTGTCTGTTGTGTTCCCCAAACCTACAACAGTTCCTGACCCTCCATCACTATAAGCTGAATGAATGAATAGATGGATGGATGAATGAATGTAACTGAGAAGCTGGAGTTTGAGCCCAGGTCAGTGTGACTCCATGGTCAGATGCTACACACTTCCTGCTCCATTTCCACAGACACACACACATATCCTATTTGTCCTTGTAAAACCAGCATATTCCAAGAGTTTTCTGCCAGCTGCAGCTCATCATACCCATCTTTTCCCATCGTCCTTCCATAACACACACAGTCTCTGCCACACAATATAACAATTTATTAGACCTCAAACTCTCTGGGGGCAAAGACCACTTCTTAGCCACTGGACTTCTTAGTCTCAGTCTCAAATCAGGCTCTTAAGAAGCAATTTCTGGTTGGCTGGCTTCTTTTGGGGGAAAGGGAACCAATTGTCACCTCCTCCAGACCCTCGTATTTCCAAACCCTAGCCTTTCTTATAGGAAAGAGGAAGGGAACTCAACTTTACATTTGACATTTTTCACTGAGGAGCCACACTTGCCCTTGGCCTCCTAACCCAATCCCTTGCCTCGCTGTTGTCAGTTCTCCTATAAGCAAAGAAGCAAAACCTGGGGAGCAACAGGGAGGGATGAGCAGGGGTGACTCAACCGGGGAGGGATAAAACCACATACCACAGAGAGTGAAAACTCTGTGCTCAGCAAAGAGGAGAACTTACTCAGCATTTCCCCTAATCCTCCCTCCAGAAGCACGACTGCCAGGAAAGTTCACAGTGTACTATCTCCAGCTGGGAACCCGAAAGAAGCAGGAGGACTGTAGGCCACAGGTCCTGGGCACCATGTGTTTCCCCCGTTCCTACTCCTATTCTTCCCTCTCTGTCCAGCAAACCTGCTTGTTTCTGTCACCTGCCCTCCTGCCCTTGGGGTGACAATGGATGCCTTGAACACTCAGCAGAGGGATGCTCTTTCAGAGGAGGAAGAGTCTGTGTGATTGATCTGATGCCTGAGCAGGAAAATCACCCCTGAGAAGAGGCTCTGAGACAGAGGGTCGCCGTGGTTCCTACCCCTTATATATGTGGGGCTCCTGGCACATGCACACTTCTCCTCAAACTCTGTTTAGGAGAACAATGCTGGGTGTTGTCAGCCTCTCTCCTCCCTAGATACTGCTCTGTCATCAGCCTGAGCACAATTTCCCCATGAAAGGCGTTAATCTGTCTCTCAATTAGATCAACTTTTTACATGTCTTTGATGGATGACAGTTTTTCAGTGTCAGAATCTAGAAATAAGAAATGGGGTGATGGGGACAAGTGAGCTCGTTGTGTGACTCACCAGGATGTTCCCTCTTATTCCAGGTGTCCTGTCCCAGGTGCAGCTGCAGGAGTCAGGTCCAGGACCCATGAGGCCCTCAGACACTGCCCTCCACCTGTGCTGTGTCTGGGTTCTTTTTTTTACCAGTGAATATTATTTGAGCTGAATCCACCATCCCCTAGGCAACAGATTAGAATGGCTGGGGCACAGTTACCAGGAATACACATCATGATCACCAAGATCATCATCAAGATCACCAAGGAATACACATCATGCACCCTTTACCCAGGTCTGCATCTCCATCAACAATGACTCAACCAAGAGCCAGTTCTTTCTGAAGCTCAGCTCCATGGCTGGCTAGGACATGGCTGAGTATTACTGTGAAAGACTCAGTGAGGAGGTGTCCTTGTGAGCCCTGACACAAAACTTGCTGTCAGGGCACTGAGGACCGCCAGCAAGACTCAGGACCACAAGGGGGACTCAAGACCACCAGGGGAAGAGCAGGTTGCAGGAAGCACAGGGCCAGCCCCAGAGCAGGTGTGGGTGGAGATGAGAGGCTGGTTTACTGCCAGGGTGTGGGGCTGCCTCTACATCTACATGTTTCCTCCAGGGACCCTCCCTTATTTCATGATGCTGTGCCTAGCTCTACGTCTCTGAAATACCACAGTTTTGTTGTACCAGGAGGAAACCTTCTTACAGGCACTAAATGCAGAACAATCCCTCTGCCAGTGGTCACCAGGGCCACAGCCCTGTGGAAGCTGAGTGGAACCCGGTGAGTCTTCTCCAGTCACACTCAGGACAGGGACCTCAGTGGGGTTCCCTGAAGAAAACAGTATTTAGGAATTCTAACCTCAGCCAAGAGAGAGGCTGGGCCAGGGTCAGGGTCACGTAGAACCTCACAGGTTTTATTTCTGACCCTTCTTCTGACACTAAAGTATGCAAATCAGTATCAGCGCTGATCAGGGGCTGCTTTTGCTCCTAGCACATTCTATTTCTTGTTAGTTGTTTTAGTTGTTGATTTTCCTTTTGCTGTTCCTGATCCCTGTAAAGTGGAGATGTGGTTCTTGCTGTAAAAAGTCCACTGCTCAAGCCCTTTCCCTGCAGCTCAGGTGGGGCTCAGACTGTGGCTCCTGCAGCCACGTGGGAGAGGCTGATGGGACTTCCTTCTCTCCCGTTGCTCAGAACCCTCCACTGTGTTGTGTAGAGACTCACTTGGGAATGCAAGTGGCCAATAGTTGTGAAGAGGATGAGCTTGTGTGGTCAAAATGGGATGTGGATATGGAATTTATCCTGTGCTGTTCAAGCTAACACAGGGTCACCTTCCCCCCAGTAGTGTTAGAAAGAGAGTGGGAAAGTTGTCAAAATCAAAATGGAGCCACTTGTATTAAAACTCTGACAAATGAAACTAGGAGTGACCATGAAGGAGGGTTCTTAAGCCCATATTCCTGATAACAAGAACTATCATAAATATACTCTGCTTAACCACAATCTTGGGAAGAAGACACCACCACCTTATAAAAAAATTACTTTTGCAAGGACATCATCCCAGAAACTGCCACTTCAACCTTACACTGATGCCACCCTTGGTATTGATTCTACAACTACAGGATCGTTCTCTCAAAACAACTTTTGTAACCCATCCATTTTCACTTCATAAACCTGTGAATTGACATCCTGGAGTTACTGCTGCATTTGTTGATAACGTTAAATAATAAGGCCTTTTGACAATGTTTGAAGCTGCTTTTTTCTGATGTCTCTTCTAAAATAAAGAATTTCCAAGTTGATGACAATAAAAAGATAATTAGGAAGATTTGGTGGGAAGGCATCTTTAACATCCTGTTGAATGCTTCTGCATAGCACGTCAATCCCCTAGAATGCTTTGCTACATCTGCATTTAATGAATCGGAGTCTAATATTGAAGATGTAATTGAAAATAGGTGGGCTTTTGATGAATCAAGTCATACGGTGATAACGTTTGTGTCCTTGAGAAAGCAAACCCTGTGTTGTAAGTTTTAGCAGATGTACCTTCAGCAAAAAAGTTCATGTGTTTCTGAATGTTATGCAACTTTTAACTTAAGGATGCAACATATGATTCAGTTTTACTTAAAACTTTCCAGAAGATTTTTGGCAGTAAGGACAGTGCAGCATTTGAGTAACACTAAGGAGCTAAAAAGAGTTATTTTGTAATTGCTCCTGTGAGGTATGCACATCGCTCACTTAATATTGAAATTCAAATGCCACAGATGGGAAAATCAGAATAAGGAAAATTTTATGAACTGGCATGGCTGTAGTTTTTGTCAAGCAAGTAATTCATGTCTGCAAGAAAATAAATACAACAATAAAACACATTCAAATCCAGGGGGATGCTGACCTCTGCCCTCTATATTACAAGTACAAGGTGGTATCACATCCAAATTATTTTTCAGGCTCCAGGGTATAAAATGCTTTTGGACGGTGAAGTTAACACCTCTCCCCTAAGGTGTGGCTGAGGTATGTGGGGAATGCAGAGTTGTGTTCATGAAGAAGATTACATTATTGTTATCTGGAGACAGCTCCCCAGGGTGTGTCTCAGATGTCAGACATGGGTCTATAAGTCAAGCAAAGAGAACATGTTGAGTCCAAAAATCAGCATATTCTTAGAGGCACCCATTGCTCCATCACATGGGTGAGAAATTTTTGAGACTAGTGAAGTGTGAGTTCACAGTAAGTGATGCAGTTATCATATTTCCATGAACTTTCATTAACAAGACAAGGACTTCTCTAGATCACTCATGCACAAATATACAAAATGTATTTTTGCATTTGCGAGTGTCTAGAGAAAAAGAATCTGTTGAGAAAACTTCTTCAGGTTACAGAGATCTGTTTAAGTTGGAGATCTCACAGGAGTGTGTCTTTGAGTGAATACTGGCCTATTAATTAAATAGGTCAAAATTCCCTCTGTTGGAGTAGCCTTCCGATTATGTAGATTTCTTTATTGCTTCCTGAGTTGTGAAACATAAACCCAAGCATTGACTTACTGGAATTTGACTGCTGTGTTGATAAAATTTCTGATATGGTTTCTTCCAATGATTTAAGAATAGCTTTCCCCTTTCTTTACTCCAGGAAATGAATTTTCACAAGGTCTCAGGACACCATTTTTCAAGTGCTTTAGTTAAAGAGACTGACTTCTTGGTGGGCAGGCCTCTTCTAACAATGAGCTCACTTCTGCAAAGCATTCAGTCTGTGGCTTTATTGCCATGAATCATGAAGCTTTCACACTCCGATGCACTAAAAATAATGCCTCTTCAATTAAATATCTATTGGCATTGCCATGAATTGGCCACTCTTGGATATGTGTCCTATGTTATGAGCCCAACATGTCAGTGGACTGAGAATCCTCTATTAGCTACCTCTGTGTGTAGCACTGAGCAGACTAACAATCCTCAGAGTCATCTAACAAGGAGAGTCCTGAGGTTCATGGGATTCTTGGAGACATTCAGGTGAGTTGAGAGGAGAAACAGGATTGTGGGCTGCCAGCCATTTCAACAACAATGGGAGTCATTACCATCTAAGTGTAAAGTCTACATCATTCAAAATATCCTCCATGACAGGCTGATAAGAAGAAATCCAACCACACAATGGCTCCATGGCAACTCTTTAGTATACTTGGGAGTGAGGCTTTTTTCGGGAAGAAATATCCACTCCAGTGTGTCCCTGATGCTGCTCTCAACTAACGTAAACAGTGGACTGGAACCAAGATTCTCTGAGATTAATGTGAGGATTAATGCTGCTCCAATGTGTTTAAACAAGCATGTGGCAATTTAGATGAGCCTGGCTGTGTGGTTTGTTATATGTAAATCTGAACTAAATAAACAGAAAGGGCATGTCTGAACTAGTGTGAGGGTGAGAGATCTCATAGACCCCAAACTCATTTATATTTCTTTGGGTGAAAATTGACATAGATCCTTTCCTGGATAAGTCATCAAAATTCCTACTCTCTGAGAAATACACAATAAATATATCCAGATAGAACATACAGGAGAAATACATATCTAGAACATTATCTATGTTGGTTAAGGTAGTCCATCTCCATTACAGACCCCTTCAAGCAGCCTTCCTTTATCACAAAAGTGGATAAAATTAGCCAATAGAGAAATAATCCTATAATGTTGTAGCCAGAAAAAGGAAAGTGTCAGTTCCATTTCTGGAGACTCTGTGTATAGGCCACAGCCCAGAGAAAAAAAGATGACTGAATTATTAAGATTCAATTGTAAGAACATATAATACTTCCAGGATGCACGTTTTGTTTTCTCAGCAGGATAGTTAATCTGGGTTAAAGATGAAAGTGTGACAATGCGCAGACTCTATCTGAGGAGAACATAGGAAAACTGAAACACAATGGCAGAGAATATGACAAGGACAGTAGGGAAATCTGAAGCCTCTGACATATATTTTTTGAAGAAAAGATATTGGCAAATCCATTGACCTCAGATTCTTTTATCATAGGGCATTTGCAGGGTTCCTAGCTGAGAAAAAAAATGCATGCACTTGGCCGGGCACTGCGGCTTACGCCTGTAATCCCAGCACTTTGGGAGGCCAAGGCAGGTGGATCACGAGGTCAGGAGATCGACACCTTCCTGGCTAACACGGTGAAACCCCATCTCTACTAAAAAATACAAAAAATTAGCCAGGCAGGGTGGCGGGCGCCTATAGTCCCAGCTACTTGGGAGGCTGAGGCAGGAGAATGGCGTGAACCCGGGAGGCAGAGCTTGCAGTGAGCCGAGATCGTGCCACTGCATTCCAGCCTGGGCGACAGAGCAAGATTCCATCTCAAAAAAAAAAAAAAACTATTCATGCACTTCCCAAGTCTCCACTTGTATTCTATTTGCCTTAGATCTCTAAGACAAAAAAGTGGGTGAAGGATATGAACAGACACTTCTCAAAAGAAGACATTTATGCAGCCAACAGACATGAAAAAATGCTCGTCATCACTGGCCATCAGAGAAATGCAAATCAAAACCACAATGAGATACCGTCTCACACCAGTTAGAATGGCGATCATTTAAAAGTCAGGAAACAACAGGTGCTGGAGGGGATGTGGAGAAATAGGAACACTTTTACACTGTTGGTGGGGCTGTAAACTAGGTCAACCATTGTGGAAGACTATGGCGATTCCTCAAGGATCTAGAACTAGAAATACCATTTGACCCAGCCATCCCATTACTGGGTATATACCCAAAGTGTTATAAATCATGCTGCTATAAAGACACATGCACACGTATGTTTATTGTGGCACTATTCACAATAGCAAAGACTTGGAACCAACCCAAATGTCCATCAATGATAGACTGGATTAAGAAAATGTGGCACATATACACCATGGAATACTATGCAGCCATACAAAAAGATGAGTTCATGTCCTTTGTAGGGACATGGATGAAGCTGAAAACCATCATTATCAGCAAACTATCGCAGGGACAAAAACCAAACACCGCATGTTCTCACTCATAGATGGGAATTGAACAATGAGAACACTTGGACACAGGAAGGGGAACATCACACACCGGGACCTGTCGTGGGGTGGGGGTAGTGGGGAGGGATAACATTAGAATATATACCTAATGTAAATGACGAGTTAATTGGTGCAGCACACCAACATGGCACATGTATACATATGTAACAAACCTGCACGTTGTGCACACGTACCCTAGAACTTAAGGTATAATAATAAAAAAAAATAAGCCTAGGCCTAGTGTCAGTGTAGGAGGCAATTTTTATAGGCTAGAAACTAAGAAGAAAGAAAAATATGTGTTATTGGAATAGTAGATACAAAGTTGGTTTTATTCTGAGTGTATTTGAACCTGCAGGTATTCTTAGATGTAACATTCAACTGCAAGAGCTCAAGGACGAAACAAGGCACTCCCAAAATCCTACAAGTTTTTGTATTCATTTCGTGTCCACTGACTCAGGAAATGTGAAGTTTCAGAGAAGGTGTTCCACTCTGTGTCACAGAATATTTGCTTTGGGTCTCCCTGTAGAGTTAAATAGGTTTAATAAGGCTCTTCAATTCTTAAAAGACATGGTGTCAGCAGTACATTGTGTCACTGAAGGAGTATTCAGTACATTGTGTTACTGAAGGAGTATTCTAAACCAGGACACACCCACTTCATGCTGAGCTAGAGACTGTGGGGTAAAATGCCTGTGAGCTACAACAGAAACCTCATGGCAAGGCAAGGGCTCGGCTGGAGGGGGCACTTGGGAGCCACCAAGCACAAGTTCCAGCCCCAGAGCAGGTGCACAGGAGGCCGGGGAGGAGGTTTTCTCTCAGGGCCTTGGTCTTCCTTTGTCAGGAAAAAAACAATCTAAAATAACTGTTCAAGAAGTAGCTGACGTGCTTTAAATATTCTAGTACATCCAAACCATTCATATAACTTAAGATAATGAGAGCTATTTTTTAAAGTGAGTTTCTAGGACTGTAATATCTTAATAGTGAGAATATGAAGGATGGGCATGTTTTTACTAATTCAATGGGTACCGATTAGTTGAAGAAACTATATTCCTATGAATAAGAAATTCAGATTTCAGTGTTAAGTAATGTTGCCTACATTGTGTGAATGACAGGGCAGTGATGGATCTGAGGGTGTGGCAGGTGCACAGACCAAGTGAGTCAAAAATCAATATGTAAAGATACAGATCTATGGATATGAACTGGAAGTATGTAAATACTTTACAAAAATCTAATAAATGGAGTTGAAAAGTAACCCAAAATTATTCAAAACACAAATTCATTGACAATTATTTTGAGAGTAGAGAGTTCATAAAGAACTTCAAACTCCTGTTACCTCTTCTGATTCCCATTGTTCCTGAGATGAGAAAATCAGCTGTAATTATGCATCACAGGGCAAATACGTAAAACAAGAGCGTTTCTATTGAAGATCCTGGGGGATCAGGACATGAGGCACGTGCTGGAGACACTGTCTCAGGAGGGCCCAGTAGATCTCAGAGGGACATCAGCAGTCACCTTTCCAGAGTCACCAGTGAGCTGTGCTGGTGCCTGACAGGTCCAGGATAGGGCCAAGGCACGTGCTCAGTGTCATAGACAGTGATGGTCCCAAAAATAATCCAGGCGGCCTCTATACTAATCACATGTAGGTTCACAGTGAGGAGCCTGTTCTGAGAGGGCTTATTCTTCAGTGAAAGGACCTCTGTACACAAATGTTGGTAAATAGAGCAGGGCATGCATTTTCTCAAGTAAGATTAGGGCTTAGACCATTTGCATCTCACTCTTGTAAGGCTGATGTGTCATTTATCTTCCCTTTCTTATCATGTATCAGGCTTTGAGCTATGAAATCGTCTGTCTCATGAATATGCAAATAACCTGAGATGCACTGAGGTAAATATGGATGTGTCTGTGCCCTAAGCACATCATCCAACAACCACATGCCTCTTCTGCAGAATCTCCTTAGAGCTCAGTGCCTCACCGTGGACTGGACCTGGAGGAACATCTTGGTGGCAGCAGCTACAGGTAAGGGACTCCCAAGTCCCAGTGATGAGAAGGGGATTGTGTCCATTTCTGAAAGATCTCATCCACTACTGTATCCTCCCCACAGGTGCGCACTCTCAGGACCAGTTGGTGCAGTCTGGGGCTGAGGTGAAGAAGCCTCTGTCCTCAGTGAAGGTCTCCTTCAAGGCTTCTGGATACACCTTCACCAACAACTTTATGCACTGGGTGTGACAGGCCCCTGGACAAGGACTTGAGTGGATGGGATGGATCAATGCTGGCAATGGTAACACAACATATGCACAGAAGTTCCAGGGCAGAGTCACCATAACCAGGGACACGTCCATGAGCACAGCCTACACGGAGCTGAGCAGCCTGAGATCTGAGGACATGGCCGTGTATTACTGTGCGAGAGACACAGAGTGAAAACCCACATCCTGAGAGTGTCAGAAACCCCAGGGAGGAGGCAGCTGTGCTGGCATGGAGGAGATGACAAAGATTATTAGATTGAAGACTTTCTCAGAAAATAACATTAAGTCACTAAAGAAAAGGAACAATATAAATGTGTATTTGAGAAATTTTAATTATTTGAAAGATTTTTCATACAACATTTATTCTGTAAGCAAATTTCAGGGATTGAATTAATAAAACTGATACAGAACTTCCTTTGTAGGTATCTTTGTAAACATCAATTTCTGAATCACTGTTGTAAATATTTTGGAACACACAAATGAATCAAATTTTAACTCTACTTTTATCTCTATTTTAAAAATGCCCCCCAAAACCTCATTTTGTGCATGTAGCATTTTGAATTCCCACCATCAATGCATGATGGTTCTTGATTTTCCACATTCATATTGCCATTTTTCATTATGAGAATTGTGTGTTTTAAACATCCTAATAGGTGAGTAATGGTATCTAATTTTTATTTACACGTACATGTCCCTAATAAAAAGTTCCTACTTAAAAATGTTCAAATAATCTTTGGTGAGGTACCTTGCCTGAGATCTAGTTCATTTTTAAATGCATTGTTTTCTTTTGATTAGTTGTAAGTTAACTTGCATATTAATTATAAAAGTGATTTAACAAACTAAAATAACTCATTTAACAAATACGTGACTTGGAAGTATTTTCTCCAAGTCTGTGGCTGTCTTTTACACCCTTAGCGTGTATTGCAGAAAAATATGTGTGCATGTTTATACCAATTTAGATTTTAAAAATGTAAAATTTTATTCATCCACAGATCATGTCTTTGGCATTATATCTGAAATCCCATTATAAAATACAATAATAGTGATTTTTTTTCCATGTCTCTAATCTCAGGCCACAATCAACTCATGAGTGTTTAAGCTTCACTCACTTGATTACAGGACTATCAAGCTAACATATTTGGAATACTTCTGCAAAGAGATGTGTTCTTCTTCCCATTATTTATTTATTTAATAATCTATTAATATCCATATTAGTTTACGGATGTCTATTTCATGCTCTGAAGATGATCCTTGCTACATCATTCATTTTATTGTTCATGTCACCACCGCTTTATTAGGTGCTAGGAGCTCATTTAGTTTGGATCCTGCATCCTTACAGCACACCTCATCCTTTTGTTTTTGAACACTTCCCTGTTTCCTGATATTACAATTAATTCTAAGTTCATTTTCTACATTATCTTTCTCATACATAGGATTAGCCGTTTTTCCTAAAGATTGATTATTTCCGATGTTAAAGAATAGTGTTAAAATTAAAAATTGTGATACTGGATATGTGTGTTGTTAAGGTGTTATAAGTACTTCTAGGACCTCTCAACCTATATGTCTAGTAAATGTACATGTTTATATGAACCCATGTTTATGGACTCATTGAAACTACTTATGTATCTAATTGTATGTAACTTTATTACATTAAAAATGAGAACGCACTGGTCTCTCCACCCAATTATGCTATTTTAGATAGTATTATAAACAATTTTAGAGCTGCTTGCTTTGCATAATGATCCACTACTATGGATAAACAGATAGAAGATAGATGCCTACATACATACATACATACGTACCTTGATAGAGATATAGTTGGACACATAAATACATAGATGGATAGATAGAGTTACAGATATATTTTAGTTTTTATGCTACTTTTTTCTTTGCCTTTACTTCCTATGTTATATTAGTCAGGTCTCTAGGACTTAGGACTGCATTTACAATTCCTTCCCTTGTCCATTTTGATGTGTTCTAGAAGATGTGAGAATCCTTTTGTGTCACTTCAAAGTCAGATCACTTCAAAGTCATGCACTACCCTTGCAATAAATGTGTTTGTGTATGTCTTTGCCTTATTGACAAGCTCTGCTGAGTGCAGTTATTTCTGCCATCTGAGCTAACTTTACACTTGGTAGAGAAATATATTCTAAATGGAGGTTTCCACTATTCATTTAAATTACTAATTCATAACCTCCAGCTTAATTATTGAGGTATAATCTATCAGAGATGATATTAGATCAAAGGTTTCCAATGAAATCTAATATAAGGGAAGTGAACAAATTTTCCTAATTTAGGTAAAATAACTCTGAGCCCATTCTTAGTATCCAGCCATGTCTCCTATCTATCACACTGAATCCCATACTAACTTTGACCTAACTTGGGACTTGGAAGCTTCAAATACGACGTTTTGATTGCAATGCCTCTAATTCAGGATGTGTGGTTATTTTAGCCAAGAGTAAAGAAAAGCAAATTTAACTCACTAAAAATGAGGAAGATTAAAACCTAATGAAATGGAAACTGGGATATGAGTGGCTCCAGACTTGGCTATTTTAAGAGTCTATGTGCCCAGGTGATTTCTTTTCTCAATTTTACACACAGGCACACCCAAAACATCAGCTTCATCTCCCATTGACTCTCATCATCTCTTTCTTAGAATGTTGACTTCCCGCTGCATCCATGTTGCCACAAAAGACATGATTTTATTCTTTTTCTATGAATGCATAGTGTTCCATGGTGTAAATGTACCATATTTTCTTGATCAAATTCACCATTAATGGACACATAGGTTGGATTTATGTCTTAAGTATTAAGAGTAACATAGCAATGAACATGTAAGTGGGTGTATTTTTTGGTAGACTGATTTATTTTCTTTTGTGTATATACCCACATATGAGATGGCTGGACCAAGTGGCAGCTCTGCTTCAAATACTTTTCAAATCTCCAGACTGCTTTCCACAGTGCTTGGACTAATTCACATTCCACCCAACACTGTACAAGTGTTTCCTGTTCTCCGCAGCCTCACTCCAGACTGCTTGCCACCGTGCTTGGACTAATACACATTCCACCCAACACTGTACAAGTGTCTCCTGTTCTCTGCAGCCTCACTCCAGACTGCTTTCCACAGTGCTTGGACTAATTCACATTCCACCCAACACTGTACAAGTGTTTCCTGTTCTCCGCAGCCTCTCTCCAGACTGCTTTCCACAGTGCTTGGACTAATTCACATTCCACCCAGCACTGTACAAGCGTTTCCTGTTCTCCGTAGCCTCACCAGCATCTGTTTTTTTTTTTTTTTAATTTTTAGTAATACTGATTTTGACTGGTGTGAGACAGCATCTCATTGTGGTTTTGATTGATTGGCATTTCTCTGATGATTAGTGACGTTAAACGTTTTTTCATATGTCCTGGCCACTTTATGTATTTTTGAGAAGTTTATGCTCATGTCATTTGCCTATTTTTAAAATGTGATTATTATTATTATTTTTGCTTGTTGATTTACATTTCTTATAGAATCTGGATATTGGACCTTCATCAGATGCATAGTTTGTGAATAGCCTCCCCCATTCTGTAGGATCTCTGCTTACTCTCTTGATAGTTTCTTGGCTCTGTAGAAGCTCCTTAGTTTTATAAGGTGCCACAGACAGAATTTTGATTTGTTGCAACTGCTCTTGGGGACTTTGCCAAAATTTTCTTGCCCAAAACAATTTTTAGATGAGTATTTCTTAGGTTGTATTCCAAGATTTTTATAGTTTGAGGTCTTATACTTAAATCTTTACTCCATTTTTTGTTGATTTTTGTTAATGGTGAAAGGTAGACATCTAGCTTCCATCTTCTGCATATGGCTAGCCAGTTATCCCAGCACGATTTATTGAATAGTGATACATTTCCTCATTGCATGTTTTTAGTGTCTTGGTTTAAGATCTGATGGTTGTAGGTGTGCAGCTTTATTTCAGAATTCTCTATTCCCTTTCACTCGTCTATGTGTCTCTTTTTGTATAAGTACCAAGCTATTTTGGTTCCTGTGGCTTTGTAGCATAATTTGATGTCTTCTAGTGGGATACCTTTGAATGTATTCTTGTTACTTAAGATTGCTTTTGTTTTTAAAACTCTTTTTTTGATTCCATATAAATTTTAAAAGTTTTTTTTCTAATGCTTTAAAAATAATGTTGGTAGTTTTATAGTAATAGCATTGAATCTGGTAATTTATTTGGGCACCATAAAAGTTGATAGTCATAAATGACTTCATCAAGGAGTTAGAAAGTTCTCAAATTAGTAATCTTAACCTTGCACCTAAAGGAACTAAAATAATCTCAAAGCTAGCACAGAAAAGGAAAATTAGAGAAGAACTGAATGAAATTCAGATACAAAAATGCATACAAAATATCAATAAGCCCAAGAGTTTCTTCTTTGTAAAATAAAGATTGACTGATAGTCACCTGTCTGGATTTAGAAAGATAAAGAAAAAGAAGATCCAAATAAGTACAATCAAAAGTGACAAAGGGGATATTACAACTGATCCCAGAAGAATGCACAAATTCTCAGACTACTATAAACTTTATGCACACGTGTTAGAGAATCTGGAGGAAATGAGTAAATTTTGGGAAGCACAAAATCTCCCAATATTGAATCAGGGAGAGATTGAAACCCTAAATACAGTGAAACCAACTTCTAAAATTGAGTCAATAATAAAGACCCAACCAAGAAAAAGAAACCTGGACAAGAAGAATTCACAGCTGAATTCTACCCGACATACAAAAAAGAACTGATGCCAATTCTACTGAAGCTACACAAAGAAAATCAAGGCATAGAGGCTCCTTCTCAACTAAATCTGTGAAGCCAGCATCAGCCTTATACCAAAATATGGCAGAGACACAATAAGAGATGAAAGCTCAAGACAAATACTTCTCATGATCATAGGCTTAAAAATTCTCAATGTAGGAAATCAAATCCAGTAGTTTATCAAAAAGTTAACACACTGCAATCAAGTAGGCTTCATTCTGCAGATGCAAGGCTGCTTTAACCTATGCAAAGCAATAAATGTGATGCTCTACTAAACAGAATCAAAAGCAAAAACCATGTGAGTATCCCAGCAGATGCAGGAAAAAAAGCTTTCAATAAAATCTAACAATGCTTCATGATAAAAACCCTCAAAATTATAGACATTGAAGGAGCACACCTCAATCTGATGAGCCGTCTATGACAAACCCACAGCCAACATCATACTGAATGGGCAAACACTGGAAGCATTTTCCTTAAGAACAGAAACAAGACAAGGATGCCCGCTCTCACCACTTCTATTCAGCCTAGTACTGGAAGTATTCACCAGATCAGGCAAGAGAAAGAAATAAAAGGCATCCAAATAAAAGAAAAAGAAGAATGCAAACCCTCTGTTTTCACTGATAATATGATTCTATATGTAGAAAATATTGAAGGCTCTGCCAAAAGTCTCCTAGTATTGATACATTAGTTTAGGAATGTTTCAGGATATAAAATCAATGTACAAAAATCACAGTAACATTTCTAGTCACCAACAACGTTCTGGCTGAGAGTGGAATCAAGAACTTGCTCTCCCAATAGCCACCAAGACAGTGGAATACCTAGGAATAGAGCTAAGCCAATGAGATGAAATATTTCTACTAGAAAAACAGCAAAACACAGGTGAAAAAAATCAGAGATAAAACAAATAGATGGAAAAATAAACATTCCATGCTTATGAATTTAAACAATAAATATAAGAAAATGTTTTAAAATTTGTGATTAATTCTATGTAGCAATGCCATTTTTTTCAACATTTGCAGAATATTGTTGCTGGTAATAGCGGTTCAGCATTTGATAATGGAAATACCTTACAGAATCACTTTATAACAATTGCTTCCTGTAGTGGCTGTGCTTCAGTTACCTGATGAAAACATCGGCATGTCACAGGTTGAAAACATAAAACATGTTTATCAACTGAGAAGGCTGTAGGCTTTTGTCAAGTAATTACTTCAAGTCATTCAGAGAAACAGTAGACAGTAAATGAAACTTGTTCAAATTCCATGGAGAGTCAAAGCTGAAGAAAATCCTACTAAAAGTGTCCAAAGGCCCCCAAGGCTCAGTTCCTCGGCAAGTCCCACCTTCACAGGTTTTCCAGAATTTTGTTTTTAACTGATTTACACTAAGTGAAGTAGATTACCAGGAGTTTTCCATTATTTTAACTTAAAATCGGGGGCTAAGTGTTGTTATTTTGTAAAGACATCTTTGAATCTCTCAGGAAATTTACCTCCTGAGGGTTCAGCTAAGATCCCACTCTAGGTTAAGATTACATGTTTGGCACAACGAACTGGTACAAATCTTACTTTAGCTTTCATGTTATCTATTTTTCTGCACTGACTTCCACCTTTTTATTAGTCAAGTATATGGGGTGGAAGAGTGCTTCTAAGAGGTCCTTAACTTCCCCATTTCAATGGATTTTCAAGAAGACATGAGAAACCACTTTGTTTGCAAAGCATCCCAAAGCCATGTCCTGCTCCAGAAACGTGATCTCATTTCCTGGTCGTTTCTTAACTGACACACTGTAATCAGTGCATCTGGGCGAATTTCAAATGAGGTGAAGAAATGTGTCCTAAAGTAAAGCTAACATTGTAATAGGAATTCCTGTTTTAAAACATTTAGTTTTATTATTGGGAGGATCTATCAACATATAACAGTTGAAGTTTCTCAACAGGAGTTTAATAAATATAAGGAATGTACAGAAGTGTTTCCTAATTAAAATAAAACATAGTGATTACCTAGGCTGTGAATGCAATCTTGGTAATCTGCTATGTCCATGCCCATCACTCTGTGCCTCGCAAACTGATTTTGACCTTAGCAGAAATGAGGTTAATTTTCAAATTAGTAATTTTTTTCCAGTTTATTTAGATGATTATGAATATTTTAGCAGAAAGAGAATCAAGGAAACTTGAACTAAATAACCAGAATTTAAAATGACAAACAATTCAACAAGACACCAGGATGTGAGTGGCTCCAGGCCCAATTAATTCAAAACTTTATCTGCCCAGGTTCTGTATTTTCCCAAAATTACACTTCTCCATTCCACCTTCATACCACAGTCGACTCCCACCCTGTAAGACATGGTGACAGCATTCCCAAAGGTCATGTGCAATTCTGAAAATGGAATAAGCAAGGTGAGGAGATGACAGTTTATATTCTCCTCTGAGGAGGAAGAATTGCCTCAACAGACCACTTCTCCTGCATCTGTGACTAGAACTATGTCACAGGCACACATGGAGCAAAATCCCTCAAGGGCATAATATGGTAACATTAATCAGGGTGATCATTTTTAATACTATAAAATTCATAGATGACACTGCATTCCAGCCTGAGAGACAGAGCAAGACCCTGTCTCTAAGAAAAAAAGAACAAATTAATAGATACTGATACCAACATTTTAGATAATGAAATTTTCATAACCTAATTTTAAATACACTCACATCATTACATAAATCTTCCCAGAAATATTCCTAGTCATGTTGAGTTTCATCAGCTTTTCCAGTGTTCAAATCTAGAAATCCAATAGAGTCTTGAGGATAAATCAAAATGAGGGCAGTGAAACTGGTATCTATTCAGCATCTGTTAACTCAGGAGGACTCAATACACCCTTGCACACTGCTGCTTCTCCGAATGGCTCACAAGGATTCCAGCTCACTCTCTAGCCTCCTCAAACATCTGGCCCCCACTTGCCCTAAGTTCACTGTCTGCTCTTAGTCTGTGCTCTGAAGTTTTCGCAGAGGTGAAAGTGAGCTGTCAGATGGAACTTCCCTCTCACCTCAGCGTGGAATTTACTACTACATTTAACTATCACTCTTTCCATAATGGTTGATTTCTCTTGGTCTGTTCATTACAGATCAAAGGCATCTGATTTGAATCTTTATTTCTTTGCATTTGTCTCCATGACAATTTTGGGAGGTTTTACCGCCAGCTCTATAACATGATGTAGTAACATGACACATTTGTGCTTAACAACACCTACAAATTCAGAAGCCCTTCGGTTCTCTTCCCGGCAAATATAGTTGCTTCCTTTCTGTGTATGAGCACATCGTGGAAACCCGTACACACCCACATAGATATATACATGCCTATGACATTTTCTTCTCTGTAAGTGAAAATTAATCTCAATTTCATACGAAGTTCATCATTTCCCTGAAGGTGAAGGTAGGTCGTTTTGGTCTGTTCAAACAAAAGGCCCAGACACCAGCTGGTAAGTGAGGAGCTACCCTGCTTCTAGATGTTGGATCTGTCTCTTCCCCTTTGCTTTACCACAGAAGATTGGCCACTTGTCCAGGTCCCAAGAAGAGAGTCCAGGTTTGTCCTGATAATATGACTCACCCAACTTCTGATAACTCTACTGCTACACACATTCATGGAGGTAGCCTATTAATTACATAATTGACTAAACAAACACCAAATACCCACATTGCAATACCCCATACCCAAGGGTATGTTCATGCAATTCAATGAAGGAAAAGGCTTTTCAGAGACAGATAGATCAGGCTAGATTGGTCAATATATGGGTGAAAACACTGGATTTGAATGTATTTGTTTTCCCCCATGTCGCATGTGAGACCTGTCAGTCAGGACCAGGGTTCCTTGTGCACTCAGAGGTGAGGGCTCACAGAGTTCCTCTCTGGTTTCCAGGAAAGGTAACTGCAGTAATCTTGGTGATGAGAATATCCTCCAGTGCTGGCCTATTATAGAGTTTACATATGAAATTGTCACTGCAATTCACAATCTACTCTTTCACACAGAAGTGTACAGAGGTCAGGCCACATCCTCAGGGTCACACATTGAGAATGATGAAGATATGTCCCACGAGTCTCTCCTAAGGTCTCAGAAAGAATTCCAGGACTCAAAAGGTCTCAGAGGGCAGCTCCCAGTGCCTTAGTTAAAATGGTGGCTCAGGCCTGTAATCCCAGCACTTTGGGAGGCCAAGGTGGGTGGATCACCTGATGTCGGGACGTTGAGACTAGCTTGGCCAACATGGTGAAACCTTATCTCTACTAAAAATATAAAAATTAGATGGGAGTGGTTGTGCGTGTCTGTACTCCCAGCTACTTGGGAGACTGAGGCAGGAGAATCACTTGAACCCAGGAGGTGGAGGTTGCGGTAAGCTGAGATCGGGCCACTGCACTCTAGCCTGCGCAAAGGAGCAAAAGTTCATCTAAAAAATTTATTTTAATTTAAACACTTTTAAAAAGTGGCCCACTCCCTAGAACAGAGAGATTCCCTCTAAACATGATGGATGTCCTGAACTATAAATTACATTAAGTGAATCCTGGTGTGTCTGAACTCACATGATTATTACATTAAGCTGCTGTTCCAATCTACTTCCTCACCTGGGAAAAGAGGAGCCAGGACATGGCTAGTTGAGGCCCCAGGAAGAGAACTGAGTTCTCAAAGGGCAAAGCAAGCATCCTCATCCCAGGGTGAGCCTAAAAGACTGGGGCCTCCCTCATCCCTTTTCACCTCTTTATACAAAGGCACTACCTACATGCAAATCCTCGCTTAGGCACCCACAGGAAACCACCACACATTTCCTTAAATTCAGGGTCCAGCTCACATGGGAAATACTTTCTGAGACTCATGGACCTCCTGCACAAGAACATGAAACACCTGTGGTTCTTTCTCCTCCTGGTGGCAGCTCCCAGATGTGAGTATCTCAGGGATCCAGACATGAAGATAGGGGAGGCTGCCTCTGATCCCAGGGCTCACTGTGGGTCTCTCTGTTCACAGGGGTCCTGTCCCAGGTGCAGCTGCAGGAGTCGGGCCCAGGACTGGTGAAGCCTTCGGAGACCCTGTCCCTCACCTGCGTTGTCTCTGGTGGCTCCATCAGCAGTAGTAACTGGTGGAGCTGGGTCCGCCAGCCCCCAGGGAAGGGGCTGGAGTGGATTGGGGAAATCTATCATAGTGGGAGCCCCAACTACAACCCGTCCCTCAAGAGTCGAGTCACCATATCAGTAGACAAGTCCAAGAACCAGTTCTCCCTGAAGCTGAGCTCTGTGACCGCCGCGGACAGGGCCGTGTATTACTGTGCGAGAGACACAGTGAGGGGAGGTGAGTGTGAGCCCAGACACAAACCTCCCTGCCAGGAGGCGGAGGGCGCGGACGCAGGTGCTGCTCAGGACCAGCAGGGGGCGCGGGGCCCACAGAGCATGAGGCCGGGTCAGGAGCAGGGGCAGGGAGGGCGGGGCTTCCTCATCTGCTCAGTGGTCTCCCTCCTCGCCAGCACCTCAGCTGTCCCCAGGGCTCCTCTTTCTTTATTGTTTGTGGTTCTGCTTCCTCACATCCTCACTGCAGGCAAGAAAGAAGGGAGAAATTTCTCTGTTTACCATTAAGGTTTTAACAGTCACTGGCACCTTTTTTTCAACAAATTCCCACAAGGCCCATTTTACCTTCTTGACAAATAAAATATTTCAAGGCTTCTCACTATCCCTTGATTGACGTCATTGGCTGCATCGTGTCCTTCTCTTAAATTCATATGCTGAAACCCCAATCCCAGTGGCTCTGTATTTGGAGTGAGGGATTTTAAGAGGGCAAATAAGTTAACTGTGGCCATAAATGTGGGACCCTAATCCAGTAGGACTCTTGTCCTTATGGGAAGTGGAAGACATCAGAGACCTCTCTCTCCACATGCACACAGAGGAGAGGCCATGTGGGGATGCACTGCATGAGAAGGTGGCCCTTTGCAAGCCTGGAAGAGGCCTCTCAAAAAACAAAATACTATCCCTTTCTGCACCCAGATCTTGGACATCAAGACTCCAGAACAATAAGAAAATTAATATTTGTTATTTGAAACAACCTAGTCTGTGGTATCTTCTGATGGAAAGCCAAGCGGATTCACAGATACAATTGTGTTAGCTCTGTCTCCTGGAGGGAGAAACAGCCCACTGAGGCTGGACACATCTCTCAGATTATTTTTATAAAGAAAAATAGATCCAAGATGAAAACCCCACCACATTTCTGCTGAGTCATTCACTTAGCAGGCGTCTCTGAGATCAGCCCTGGGGGCTGTGTTCTAGGTCATGTCTCTCACTTTCCACCATGAGAATCCATGTAGATAATGAGAACCAGCCAGATGGAGTCCTGATCCCGGCCCACCTTCTGCTGCCCCAAGTATCCCAAAGAAAACCACTCCAGCATCACCCCTGTGTCTTCTACTCTCTAAAATCCCACTAAAGCTGACCCTAAACCAGGAGCTATTTGGGGCTGGACTCTTGTTCTCTTCTTCTTAGTCTTCCATAAGGTCCAGGTGCCGAGTAAAGCCTTAGTAAAGATTGAGCTTCAGTTCCCCTAATCCGCAGCATTCCCTTACATCCTTGTCATGCATCTGTCCTCTGTGGGCGCCCAGGGCAGGTTACACAGGAATTGCCTGAAGCTGGCCTCAGCTGATGTGCTGAGACCACGGGTCATGCACACGTATGATTCCAGGTCATGCGGGCTCTACTGCAGGACAGACCTGTGTCCTGTGGGGCACAGCCACCTGCTGATCCCGGGCCTCCTCTAATAACTCACACACCTGGTGTTTGTGTATGTCCAGATGGCCCCATGAGCACAGCACACTAGGGTGGCCAACCTCACAGGTGGTGCCGTCAGATGGTGGACAGAAAATGGAATGGACAGGCTGGTCACTCCCATCATCAGTGATTTCCCAGTGAATTTTAAATAAATTAAACAAAATTAACAACAAAGGGGAAGGATATGTACCTGTATCTGGGAGGTATACAGGGTCCTAGAACTGTGCTGGGAGTGGGTGTGAAAGGCCCTTTTGGGTGGAAAGCCCTCCGGCCTGAGTGAAAGCTGAAGGAATGATCACTGTGCAGGTGGAGGCTGATAGGCAGCTGGCAGGGTACATTTCCTGAAGCTGTTCCTGGGTGCATGATGGTTGGATGGCCCGTGGTGATGAGGGCTGGACTCACATAGGAACAAGGAAATTATCCCATGGGAATGGCAGAAAAGAAAACGGAGATGGACACCCCTGGAGACAGCTTATTAGAATTGGTGGAGGAAAAATAGAAATTTATTCCAATGACCCCAGCATTGTCAGCTAAATATGAGTTGCATTAATAGACAGAATTATGAAAGGAAGGGAGAAGGAGTTTATGGAGGGAAAAAACAGAAGAGAAATTAAAATTAAAAACTATGCAAATCTATCAATTGGCAGATAACAGAGTGGAGCTGATGCAGCTACTTCCTTGTTCAGGAAACCTGCCAGAGACACTTGGCATTCCTGTAAGGCCGGCCTAGTGGTGATGAACTTGTCGACTTTTTACTTTTTTGGGAAACTTCTCAAACATCCTGCATTACTGAAGAAAAGCTTTAATCCCTGTAAGATATTTATTTGGAAGTTTTTTGGCTTTTTTTTTCAGCAACTTGAATAGAATCATGCACATTTTGATATTTGGGTGAACAACAGGCCACATACATGACAAAGGTCTCATTAGATTATAATACTGTATTTTCACTGCATTTTTTCCATGCTTAGATATGTTCATCTGTATAAACATCTACTATGGTGATTCAGCTGCCCACAGTATTTAGTACACTTACATGACATACAGATTTGTTACCTAGGAGCACTATGCTATCCCACACAGCCTGGGTGTAGCAGGGTATTTCATGTAGGTTTGTGTAAACACACTCTATGATCCTTGCACAATGACAAATTGCCTGAGGACACATTGCTCAGACGTATCCCTACTGTTTTTCATTTTTTTTTAGATGGAGTCTCACTCTGTCACCCAGGCTGGAGTGCAGTGGCACAATCTTGGCTCACTGCAACCTCCACCTCCGAGGCTCAAGCGATTCTCCTGCCTCAGCCTTCTGAGGAGATGGGATTACAGGCATGTACCACCACGCCCAGCTAATTCTTTTTTTTCTATTTTTAGGAGAGATGGGGTTTCACCATGTTGCCCTGGCTGGTCTTGAACTCGTGACCTAGGTGATCCACACTCTTTGGCCTCCCAAAGTGCTGGGATTACAAGCATGAGCCACTGCGCCTGGCCAATGTATCCCTACTGTTAAGCCACAAATCATTGTATCTCATCTCTCTCCCTTTTTTGTCCCTGTTAATACTTTCATGTTGTTCGTGCATTCTTCCCCTAGCTCAGTGAACATATTTATAAGGTTTACTTTGAATTTTCTGCTAGGTAATCAATATATCTCCTTTTAATTTGTGGCAGTTTCTAGTGCTTTTTTTTTGTTAAACAATTTGGGCCACTTTTTTCTGTTTCGTGATTATTATTATTATTTTTTTTACTTTCTCTGTTGCTTTCTCCTCATTAGAAGGAAAAGCTACCATAATCACTCTTCACAGAATATGCTCAGGGAAAATGCCATCACCTATCAACCCAGGCTGTCATTGTGGCATCTCTTAAAACTTCATAATGGTCGAAATTTTTTTTGGTTGTTAGTGGCACTCAGACCTATAGAGGATTTTAAGTTTTGCTCCTACTCTAAATTAGATGGCATTGAAATTCATCCTGCAGGCAGTCTCTGATAAAGTGGAGGAATTGGACAAAGTTTTGTTATGCATGTGGTTCATAAAAATAATATGAGTTTAAGGTTTTCTCAACCAAGTGCTACATACTGATACTTTATAATCACTTCTTTGAATCTGTCTTGAGTTTATCCTCCGAAAATTTAGATCAGAATATAAACCATGTTTGAGGCTTCTTGTTTGGTGTAAACATCTCCTACAGGTCATTGTGTGAAAAGGCACAGAGTCTATCTGAGGAGGAGAACTCAGGGAAGCCTCACAACAACAGGGGAGACAAAACCGAGGTCACTAAAAAAATATGAAGCTTCTGGCTCCTGCAGCCTCCAGACATGCCCTGCACCCTCTCATTGCATACAAACGAATTCCTTTCTCTTTCCTGTGTGATATTTGCCAAGATTCCTCTCCTCCACTTTGACACTTTGGTATATCCATGTGTGTCCATTCTGGTTCAGCCAGGCACACAGAACCAGGAAGGCATCATGGCTTTTCTAGAGGGAGCTGACCTGGGTAATCAACGGTTGGAGTAGAAAGTGTCTTTGTCCATGTTTCACAGCCCTGAGGGCCATGGGAAGAAGGTCAGGAAGAGAGGATGACCAGACGGCCGGGGAAACCAGTATGAACAAAGCCACTTTCTTTCCTGGTGAAGAGGGGCTGTCCCTGTAGGGGATGAACCACACTCACCTACCCACTGTTACTTGCCAACGAGGTGACCCGCAGAGCAGCAGCTCCTGAGTCACCGACAGTGGCGCCTTCCTCCTCCAAACCCTCCAAGATCTGTCCTTCCAGGAGTGTGAACCCCAGCAGATCTGCATGTTTTCAATGGGTCCACTTAGCTAGTGTCTGTCCTCAGCCCCATCCCTGGGATCCTTCCCTGGTTCTGTGTACAGTGTCACAATAGTGGTGACATTGACAGCTGGTGCCTGCACTTTCCAGGCCAAGAAATTTGAAAGAAGCAAGTCACAGGACCAGCTTGGATTTGGGGCAAACAGACACATTTCACTCTGTGGGGAAGTGCTGGGAAGCAGCCTTGGGTCCTCCTCAGCTCACGTGTGGCTGCTGCTTCTCATCCCAGGTGGGACACATGAGCCCTCCCCATGCCCAGGATGGAGCTGTTTCAATCACAGCAGGATGGGAATGTGTCTTCTCTATGGGGGCTTTTGAAGCACAGCTCTCCTGTTCCTGAGATTTGAGATTTATAAAGACAAGTCCCACAGAGTGGACCTGCACAAATAAGACAGTACAGGATCCCCAGGAGAGACATCCCATATGAGAAGGGACAGGCTGGTCCCATCACTGACACTCGTCCTCAGAAACCCTGACCAGCTACTGACCTTCCCAGGTCCCCTGTTCCTGGAACGGTTCCTGTGTCTGCTCCTGAAAAGATGCCCATCAAGAGTCCCAAGGGTTCTGCCCCCTTCCTTGATGTGCCTCTGGGAGTGGGGCTGGCTGGGCTGTGGGTCTGCTGTGACCCTCTCCACAGGTCAGCAGTTCAGTGCAGGCTGCACCAACTCGGTGGGGCTGGGCTGTGGCTGACCCTCCTGGGGGAGCCTGGACTCTTCTTAGGGGTATCTGCAGGATCCCAGGTTCTGGGAGAACAGGGAAGCCACAGTGTGTGCAGGGCCCCATCTCCAGTAAAGTGTTTGCTGTTGTTCTGCTTGACAAGGGCATATCCCCAGGCCTAGAGGCACTATGGGCACACAGCCAATGCGCTAGACACAGGGAGTAAGACACAGTTCCCTCTCATTACTGTGAGGACTCTAGACACAGTGTGTGTGTGTGTGTGTGTGTGTGTGTGTGTGTGTGTGTGTCCATTACTGTGGGGACTCTAACCACCCGTGTGTGTGTGTGTGTGTGTGTGTGTGTGTGTGTGTATTAGGAGTTTCGCAGTGGGCTCTGAGACCCATGATTTTGTAGGTTTAGAAATTATCTGATGAGATGTTCATCCAAAGGAACCGACAAGAGATTAGGTGTTCTCCCAAAGCCCCTGGGAGCTCCTGGACTCATTGTGAGTGTGGACTGATCCAGTGCTTCCGGAGCTCCAGAGAAGGGGCTCCCTGGTGGTTTCATAGAATCCTTGTTTGGGGTGTTTCTGCAGAGTTCACTGGCTTTCCTACAACCAATTTACTATTGCAAGCGATGGTGTCAGCAGGACATGGTGTCACGTGTCACTAAAGAAGCATTCTGAGCCAGGACACAGCCACTTCATACAGGGAGGAAAATGCTCTGGGAGCCCAGACAGGAGCCTCTCTGCAGTGCAAGGGCTGGGCTGCAGGGGGCGCTCAAGGCCCACCCAGCACAGGCCCCAGCCCCAGAGCAGGTGCACAGGAGGCTGGGGAGGGATTCCTCTCAAGATCTGTGTCATTCTTCTAAAAAAATCTAAAATAAGTATTTGACAAAGACTGCTGAAGATTCCATAAATATCCTATTCAATTGCAAGAATTTATCAATTTACACTGGAGATTTCTAACCCTGCTACATACCTTAATAGTAAGCATCTGGAGATCAATTAAGCTTTTATTTTATATAAATAAGTGCAACTTTTGGAGAAACACACTCATCCCCCAAATAACACATTCATGTATTAAAGCCTAGAAATGCTTTAAATTACCTCTGAGCTATTCAAGTGTGGGTTCCCAGTGAAGTCCTGTTCTAGGGAAAATTGTTCTCCAGTGTTCTCCACTGTTCTGGAGAAAATTGTTCTCCAGAAGCTCTGTCAACATACAGCTTAGGGATGTGGCAGGGCACACATGGCCTCTAAGGGGATTATAGCTTGAACCCTTAGCATCCTCCTGTTGGGTAATCCATGTGTCATCTCTCCATTCTTTCTCATGCTGTGTTAGGTATGAAATAGCATCGCTCATGAATATGCAAATAACTGATATGACTATAGATATCTTTGTGCCCTGAGAGCATCACCCAACAACCACATCCCTCCTCAGAAGAAGCCCCCAGAGCACAGCTCCTCACCATGGACTGGACCTGGAGGATCCTCTTTTTGGTGGCAGCAGCCACAGGTAAGGGGCTGCCAAATCCCAGTGAGGAGGAAGGGATTGAGGCCAGTCAAGGGGGCTTCCATCCACTCCTGTGTCTTCTCTACAGGTGCCCACTCCCAGGTCCAACTGGTGTAGTCTGGAGCTGAGGTGAAGAAGCCTGGGGCCTCAGTGAAGGTCTCCTGCAAGGCTTCTGGATACACCTTCACCGACTACTTTATGAACTGGATGCGCCAGGCCCCTGGACAAAGGCTTGAGTGGATGGGATGGATCAACGCTGGCAATGGTAACACAAAATATTCACAGAAGCTCCAGGGCAGAGTCACCATTACCAGGGACACATCTTCGAGCACAGCCTACATGCAGCTGAGCAGCCTGAGATCTGAGGACACGGCCGTGTATTACTGTGCGAGAGACACAGAGTGAAAACCCACATCCTGAGAGTGTCAGAAACCCCAGGGAGGAAGCAGCTGTACTGGCATGGAGGAAATGACAAAGATTATTAGATTGAAGACTTTCTCAGAAAATGACATTAAGTCATTAAGGAAAAGAAACAATATAAATGTGTACTTGAGAAATTTTAATTACTTGAGAGATTTTTCATACAATATTTATTCTGCAAGCAAATTTCAGGGATTGAATTAATAAAACTGATACAGAACTTCCTCTGTAGGTATCTGTGTAAACATCAATTTCTGAATCAGTGTTGTAAATATTTTGGAACACATACACAAATCACATTTTATCTCTATTTTTAAAAATGCCAAAAAAACTCATTTGTGCATGTAGCATTTTGAATTCCCACCATCAATGCATGATAGTTCTTGGTTTTCCACATTCATATTGCCATTTACAATTATGAGAATTATGTGTTTTAACCATTCTAATAGGTGAGTAATGGTATCTAATTTTTAGTTAAATGCACATTTCCTTAATAAAAATTTACATTTAACAATTTTCATATAGTTTTTGCTGAGATGCCTCTTCTCATATTTGGTTCATTTTTAACTGTATTGTTTTCTTTTGATTAGTTGTAAGTTTACTTGCATATTGATTATAAAAGTCATTTAACAAATTAAAAGAATTCATTTAACAAATATGTGACTTGGAAGTATTTTCTCCAAGTCTGTGGCTGTCTTTTACTCCCTTATCAGTGTGTATTGCAGAAAAGTGTGTGTGTGTGTGTTTATACAAATTTAGATTTAAAAAATAAAATTTTATTCATCTACAGATCATGTCTTTGGTATTATATCTGAAATCTCATTATAAAATATACTAATATGATTACTTTTTCCGTGTCTCTAGTCTCAGGCTACAATCAACTCATGAGTGTTTAAGCTTCACCTACTTGATTGGAGGACTATCAACCTAACATAGTTGGAATACTTCTGTAAAAAGATGTGTTCTTCTTCCTATTATTTCTTTATTTGATCACTTATTAATATGTGTATTGGTTTATGGATGTCTATTTCATACTCTGAAGAAGATCCATGCTACATTATTCATTTTATTTTTCAAACCACCACAGCTTTATTATGTGCTGGGAGCTCATTTAGTTTGGATCCTGCATCCTTACAGCTCACCTCATGCTTTTGTTTTTGAACACTTCCCTGTTTCCTGCTATTATAATAAATTCTAAACTCATTTTCTATATTATCTTTTTCGTACATAGAATCAGCCATTTTTCTAAAGACTGCTTGTTTCTGATGTTAAAGAATAGTATTTAAAAAATTGTAATACTGGGTATGTGCATTGTTAACGTGGTATAAGTACTTGTAGGACCTCTCAACTGACTGGCCTAGTAAACTATGTATCTAACCTTCTGTAATTTGATTACATTAAAAGTGAGAACACACTGGTCTCTCTACCCAATTATGCTACCACATGGACCTTTCTAGCCTTCCTTCCTTGACTGTCTATAACCACTCACTGCAAAGTGAGGAACCCCATCCAACCATATGCCATTTGATTACTTAGCTGCACAATTTCAGGACACATGCATAGCAGTATCAGAAATGTAAAGCTGTAACCTTGTTGGAAACATGTTTATCTACTAGAATAGAGTGCTTATATTCAGTTTCTTTACACTTATTATAGAGTTTCCTCATTTTCAAAGTTCCTTAGGTCAGCAACTTCATTTTCCAGTTTCTTCAGTGAAGTCATTTCAATGACACTGTATAATTTGATTTATTTGAAATTCTATAAAAGCCAAAACTGTAGTCAAGTAAACATATAGAGGATATTCCAGGAGCTTAGAGACTGGGTATAAAATAAGTTAAAAAGACACTGTTTAAGAAGATTAAAATTATTTATAGTGATATGCAATGGTTCAGATATGACACAATTAATTTGTCTAAGCACATAATTTTATGATGGAAAATATAAACCTAAATATACACAATTAAAAAAAAGTACTTAGCAGTTCATTAACCCAAGGATCAAATGCAGATTGTATAAAATTATCTCATTACTTATTTTGTGAGGGTGGAGATTTCATGAGATGTATGCAACAAAGAATGAGGTAATTTTCCTGATTTGCATATAAGATGTTGCCATTCACTAAAGACCTTTAATTTTTTAATTTTTTTTAAAATCAATTTTCTACGTGACCCAGGTTTTTTCCTCTTGACAAGCAAATAACCCACAGGATTATTTTCTTTCCTTGGTTGAGAAATATTTCCCCAAACTTCAGCTCAGTTCAGGCATACACTGTCCCTGAATGGGCATTTACCCTCAGATGGGGACACACACCTGTCAACATGTGGACTCTTCTGTCAGATAAATGCACCGTTACTCATGTGGATTCTTTCCTCAGACAAACACACATGTCCCCACGTGGACTCTTTCCTCAGACTACCACATATGTTCTGACATTTACTCTTTCCTCAGAAAACAGACATTTCCTCATGTGGACTCTTGTCTCAGACAAGCAAACATGTCTCCATGTGAACTCAATTCAGATAAGTACACATATGTCCACATTGACTGTTTCCTTACACAAACACATATATCCAATGTCGAATTGTTCTGTGGCAAAATGATCTCAAGATAATGATAATTATAAACCCCCTCCCTGACAAGGCGTAGATATGTATTTTTTTCATTGTAACCTAACTTTGCCTTATTGTCAAGAACAGTAGTTTGCAGCTCTAAATGTACCAATTAGAGACAGGTGTCCATTTTCTCTGGAAACATATTTTTATTTTCTTACTGGACATATTTGTTGATAATGTTTGCTATTATGAAAATACCTGAACAGCGTCCACACTAGAGAATAAAAAAGAGTAATGGGCAGATTAACTCTGTGCATCCAGACCCAGAAATCCTTTGACCTTGACTTCCCTGAAATGTAGACACAGAGGATGGATGAGCAATGCTGAGCGGTGCACCCATGACCACAAAAAGAAAGACATGGAAATGTGTCCCCTCCCCTTCTCAAGAAAGGCAGCTTATCCCCTGTTCCCTCAGGCCCTGGCGAGGAGCCACCCCATGTCTGTGCCCTTCCTCAGTGTCCACACCATGGGGTCTGCACTGATCTGGATTCCCTTCTCATCCCCGTCAACATTAGTGGCCTTTGTAAAACAGGTCCAGCTGTGGCTGCTCCTCATGGGGATTTTCTCAGTCTGTTTTCTGTGTTCATGGAAGTCCTGTGTGAAGTTTACTGATGGAGTCAGAGGGGGAAAAATTTTACAGCCCAGCGGTTGAGATTCTCCTGCAAAGCCTCTGGTTTCACCTTTACTGGCTACAGCATGAGCTTGGTCCAGCACGCTTCACAACAGGGATAGGTGTGGATGCCAACAGTGAGCAATCAAGTATGAATTCTCAGGGTTACTCTCCATGAATACAAATAAATTAACAATCTCAAGCAACACCCTTTCAAGTGCAGTCTGCCTTACAATGACCAATCTGAAAGCCAAGGACAAGGCCATGTATTACTGTGAGTGACACAGTGAGGGAAACCCTGTGTGAGCCCAGACACAAAGCTCACTGCAGGGAGACAGGAGGGGACTATGCGGTAGATGCTGCTCAGAACCACCAGGGGGCACTCAGAACCATCAGGGAGGGTGCACAGAACCACCAGGAGGGGCTCAGGACACCAGGGGGTGCTCAGCACCACCAGGGGGCACTCAGGACCATCAGGTAGGGTGCACAGAACTGCCAGGAGGAGCTCAGGACACCAGGGGGTGCTCAGAACCACCAGGGGGCACTCAGAACAATTGGGGGTGCTATGAACCACCAGGGGGCGCTCAGAACCACTAGCTGGTGCTGAGGACACCAGGGGGCGCTCAGGACCACAAAGGGGCCCTCAGGACACCAGAGGGTGCTCAGAACCACCAGGAGGCGCTCAGGACACCAGGGGGCGCTCAGAACACTAGGAGGTGCTATGAATCACTAGGGGGCGCTCAGGACACAAGGGAGCACTCAGAACCACCAGGGATAGCTCAGGACACCAGGGGGCACTCGGAACCGCCAGGGGGTGCTCAGGACACCAGGAGGCACTCAGAACCACCAGGGGGTGCTCAGGACACCAGGGGGCGCTCAGAACCACCAGGGGGTGCTCAGGACACCAGGAGGCACTCAGAACCACCAGGGGGCCCTAAGGAACCTAGGAGCTGCTCAGAACCACTAAGGGGTGTTGACACCAGGGGGCAGGCAGAATCACCAGGGGGAGCCCAGGACACCAGCAGGCGCTCAGGAAACACCAGGAGGTGCTCAGGACACCAGGGGGCGCTCAGAACTGCCAGGGAGCGCTCAGAAGAAGCAGGGGGTGCTCAGAACACCAGAGGGTGCTCAGAAGCACCAGGGGGCGCTCAGGACACCAGGGGGCGCTCATGAGACTGTGGTGGGGGGGTGCTGAGAACCACAGGATGTGACCAAGACACCAAGGGGTACTCAGAACTGCCAGGGGGTGCTCAGGACACCAGAGGATTCTCAGAACCACCAGGGAGTGCTCAGGACACCAGGGGATGCTAAGGAAACCAGCGGGTGCTCAGAACGACCAGAGGACACTCAGAAAACCAGGGGAAGCTCAGGAACCACCAGGGGGCGCTCATGACACCAGCGGGCGGTCAGAACCACCAGGGCATGCTCAGAACCACCAGGGGGCGCTCAGGACACCAGGGGATGCTCAGGACACTAGGGGGCGCTCAGGAACCACCAGGGGTCACCCAGGAAACCAGAGGGTGCCCAGGAAACCAGGGGAGGTTCAGGAACCACTAGGGGGCACTGAGGACACCAAGGGGTGCTCAGAACCACCAGGGGGCGCTCAGGAACCACAAGGGGACACTCAGGACACTAGTAGGCACTGAGGAACCACCAGGGGGCGCTCAGGACACCAGGGGACGCTCAGAACCTCCAGGGGTCGCTCAGATCCACCAGAGGGCGCTCAGAACCACCAGCAGGTGTTCAGGACAGCAAGGATGGCTCAGGACACGAGGGGACACTCAGGACCTCCAAGGGGCTCTTTGGAGGCAGCTCCATATCAGGTACCTGGGGAGGGTGAGGTTTCCTTTTCCACCTTGGTGATTCCTGACCTGGTCAAGCAAAAGTCTTCCCCAGGATCTCTTACCATGTCTTCCTTGTAACTCATGGTTTCTTTCACCTATAAAACATTAACTTAGAACAGGGGTTCAATTCAACTTTAAACTCTGCCTATTTTCAGAGTTATACTAGCAATGATATATCTCAGTATAATTTTTTTTAATTGTGTATATTCAATCCAAAGTCTGGCTCTATGCACAATTTTTTTGTTTTCTGTGCTGTCAGACACACTATTGTAAATGCTTTTCTAACAACTCAGCATATGCGTGGGGTCCAGTTTCTTTTCCTTTCATTGGCTGTTTGTGCAGATGAAACACCGCTTTAAGGGCTCATGTCCTCCACTTTGGCCCCTGGTGTTTTGCTTCTCAAACTTTCTCCATCTTCTCTTTTTCTGTCAAAATATTTTATCTTCCTCACTCTCCATGCAGGAAACAGGAAGTCCTTTTACTTTCTGTCCCCCATGTCTGGTAAATCAGTTCACTTCTTTTCATGATCACTGAAGCCAACCAAGTTTAGGAGAGTAACAGTTCTCCTTAGAATATGCTCTACCTGCAGACTCTCTGCCCTCATCACACTTTTCTAGGGTCCTGCAGACATAACCCCCACCCATTCCTCTTTTTCCCTCAGTACCACAGATTGGGCTCTGCAACTCATGCTACCCTCTGTGTGCTCAGCCCAGGGGCTCACTAGTGCTTTCATGAAGTCCAAATCCCTAATGTGTTTGCACACTCTCAGACCACCCTCCAGCAAGCTGCCATTGTGATTGAATCCTGCAAAGCATGGGCTGCTTTCAGTTTCCTATCACTGGATGTTCTTTATTATAAAGGCATATTGGCAAATAAAGACTAGAGTTTGTATTGAAAATTAACACCAAAAAGTTTTTTAAAAAATTTTTCAAATAGAAAAGTTATATCTTGCCTAGTTTAAAAAAATACAATGTTACTTTAATCAATGATTTAATAAAAATTTAAGTGATGTTTGTCTTATTATTCAATTTATTAATAACTGACTGATATTTAAAAAGTAAATACTGGCTGGGTACAGTGGCTCATGCCTGTAATCTCAGCAATTTGGGAGGGTAAGGTGGGTGGATCACCTGATATCGGGAATTCGAGACCAGCCTGACCAACATGGAGAAACCCACTCTCTACTAAAAATACAAAATTAGCTGGGCATGGTGGGGAAGCTGAGGCAGGAGAATCGCTTGAACCCGGGAGGTGGAGGTTGCGGTGAGCCGAGAACACGCCATTGCACTCCAGCCTGGGCGACAAGAGCAAAACACTGTCTCAAAAAAAAAAGTAAATACCACTGTACACTTAAGTAATATATTTGGCAAGAATGGCATTTACATTCATTCAAAAATGAAACTGCAAATACAAGTTACATTCAGTTAAATAATTAAAATAATATAGAAAAAATGGGTGTGTTGTTTTGGTGTTTAATATACATTCATTTTTGCATGGACGCATATATGTGTCATTGCTTGGCTGTTGTGTGTGTGTGTGTGTGTGTGTCTGTGTGTGTACGACTATGAAGTTTAAAATATATTATTAAATTACATAGTTGTATTAATCCAAATTTATCATGTTAAAATATTAGGAAAAAGTCACCAGTAGAGAAATTACAGAGAACATTAGCAATGCCTACAGCATTTACAAGAGTCACGTTAATAAGAAACAAACTAGTTCAAATTTTTAGATATGACACACGCAGTGGAAAATGTTCACATGGTATTAACACAAAAGTGGTGCACAATTGAGGAAATTATAATACATTCATGATATTGGCTAAATAAATGCTTATGAGTAATGCTTTTCATCCATCAAATGCTTATGATAATGCTTTTCATCCATCGTATTATAGATGATAAAATAACTCTATAAACACTTCCATCACTAGTGTTTAATATGAGATGCCTCACATCTTTTTCTGAAATAAATAAACATCTGTCCACTACTTTGATGATCATTTCAGTATTATCCTCTAAAATAATTATCCATAATAATGTTAGTAACAATATTATTTTCAGAAGCCTATTTTATAAGTTCTTTGAACTATTATTTTTATGATTGTTACTTTATATTTTACACACTTTTTATTTGGAATAATTATAGATTATCAGAACAATTGTAAGGAAAATACAGTGTGTTCACATCCATCTCCGAGTTTTCACTAAAGTTAGTATGTTAAAAAAATGGGACATGGGACTAATATATTTACATTGATAATTTTCTGTTTATTCAGCTCTGGGATTTATTTGAATTTTGCCAATTTTTAACAGTTTCCTTTTTTCCTTTTTCTTTTCTTTTTGAGATAAAGTCTCACTTTCCTATTGCTTTTTGTTTGTTTCTTTGTTCAACTCAGGTAACCACATCAAATTCAATCACCATGTCCCTCTAATATCTTCTGGTTAATCACAGTTTGGGTTCCTGCTGTCTTCCCATTGAATATTCTATAAATGAAACTAGTGAAATAAGTTGATTCTGGTCACTTATGTATTTACCTATTTTATCACGTTTGTTTTGTCAATCACAATAAGTGTCGAAGTCTCTATCTGTTATAGATGTTAGCCTATTTTCTATTGCAGATCCATTGGTTAAATCTTTGGTGATGCCTTTTAGAAAACTGATCCCTTTACCCTATGTAAT
Organism: Homo sapiens; assembly: GCF_000001405.40. NCBI lineage: Eukaryota > Metazoa > Chordata > Mammalia > Primates > Hominidae > Homo > Homo sapiens. The sequence goes on along the minus strand of NC_000015.10, from coordinate 22,170,331 downwards.
ATGCCCCTTGATTCCTGAAAGTCTTATGTCTACCTTGTCTGAATTTAACATAGCTAAGCACGCTTTCTTTTCGTTCATATTTTCATGGTCCATGTTTTCCTGTATTTAACTTTCCTATGTAGAGCAAATTTCTATACAGAGCTAATAGTTGGGTCTTGCTTTTTAAAACAACTATAATAAATTCTGTTTTAAAACTGGTATTACTATTTTTCTGTTAATTTCTGTTTTAATTTAGCATTTTATGATCATGTTTATTCTCTATTAACTTATCGTTTAGTTCATCCTTTATGAATATTATATTGGCCATAAGATATACAATACGAATTGTATATAATCAGATTCTAATTCAAATAATGTAAAACCTCTTCATAGGTTGTAGAGCTATTATAACTGTATTCTTCTAAACCCTGTTTCTCATCCGTTGTCTTAGTTTATTCTCAGTTTGCACTTATATGTGCTATAAAATATAATATGTGCATTTTTATCGTTACTTTACATAGACATATATTAGAACAATTAAAAATATAAAAACTACATTTCAACTTCATTTTTTCATTCTTGACCACCTGTTTTATTTGGATAGATTCATGTTTCAGATGTATATCATATGGCTACTCACCCTGGCAGAAAATTTGCCAAAGCACCTACTGAAGGATGAATGCACTGGCAATAAATTTTCTCAGAATCGAATTGTCTTACAGGGTATTCATTTGACTTTCTCTTTAAATGAAATTTTTAATACATATAGAATTCAAGTTTGACTTTTATTTGTAATTTATTTTCTTGTACTCATGTATTCATTATTTTCTTCCTGAAGATGGTCACACATTCCATTCTGCTGGGCCTTCATTATAGACATTTGTGTGTATCTATTCAGGGCTATATTTGCAATTTATGGATGCCACAATTATCAGAGTTGAAGTCAGCTTCTGCTGTCCACAGAGATTTCAAGTTCCTCCCATGATACTTGCTTTTGTGTCCCTGTTTGATCCTGGGTCTTTATATTTAGTTTTCCCCAGGGAGTCTGTCTCTTTCAGCTGTGGAAAGTGCACCCTACTGACAGTTTAAATTGCTGACTGTGTGGTGAAGGAGCTTGGACAAAGCGGGACGTCCTCCAACCTTCTGACTGAGTCTTCTTCTTATGCAGGAGTAGTAAGCATAGTTCTGGGGAGTGGCCTTGCAGATTGTCCTGTCCTTAACTCTTTCCCCAGGGCTGGAATGTATTTTCCCATACAGAATTGTTTTTCACCAGTGTCCCCAGCTTTTTACCCACTATCCTTACCCTAAAGAGTAAGGATTTCTTTCCTGAGGAAGGAGATGGGAGGTGTTTCTGGATCAAGTTTCCTTGGTGTCCTCTGTTTCCTTTTGTTTCTGTTGACTTCACCACAGCTCACATGACACATGCTTTGGTGGATTTCCCCTGGAGGTAGTGGAGGTGCATCCAGGCATTCCACAGGAGCTGCTGTTCTTTTCCCCAGTCAACACCACAAGACACCAGATGAGGAAGTTGTCCGTGGATTTTTCAAGTTCTCTAGGAAAAGCTTGCAAGCACTAGGCCACTCTAACACCATTAGTACATGCATACTAAAAAAAAGTCATTAAGTATTTCTAGGTTAGTCTGTTTCTATCTCAAATGCCATCCAGTGGCACCTGCCCTATGTACACTAGCAGGTAGGTCCTGGTTCTCTTTGCAGGCTCCTATCTTGTCAGATTTCAGTTTTCTTGTTTGCTCGGTGAAATCGACTCAGATATGTTGAATGCTTTTTCTCTCTTTTATTTGTAGCTGTTCAGCTTTGTTGTTAATGAGGTCAGAATAAAATCACAGTTTTCTCATTTTTTTCACATTCCCACACTGAATAGCTGCTTTCTGTATAAAAGCCAGAAACTGAGAGAACACATTGAATATCCATTACAGGTGAATGTTAAACAATTTGAGATATGTTTGTGTACTGGAATAAAATGCTGCATTACAATCAAGTCATCACTCATTCACATAAAACTTGGCCATATTCTCAAATAATGTACGGACCTGAGTGCCCCTCCATCTACTGGCCTCTCCTGGGGCCCTAGCCTGGCCATACCTGCTTGCAGGGCAGTCTCGGGCACCCTGGGATCCTGCACCAAAATTTCTGCCCTGGCAGACCATGCCTGACTGGTGGAGAGCTCCAATCGGGCAGCTCTCATGTGCACACACCAGCTTACACACTTCCTCCGAATACTGTAGGTTCCCCCAGGCCCACGTAACTCCCCACATCACTTTGCAGGCACATGTCTGTATAGGTGGGTTTTGCTTTTCTTGTCCCACCATTGCGTGGAGTGCAGTCCCCTCCCCCCACCCCAACCACCACGGCAGAGGTAGCTTTGGTGGGGAAAAAGCCAGGCCCGCTCCTGTCAGCGTCCCGCACTTGCACTAATTCTGCACAGAGAATAGCAGATCATCTCACACATTCAGAAATTGCTCCTGCTTGTGGGGCATGAATACGGCACCCGGACCTGTGCCCACAAGTGTCCCACCCCTGAGCCAACACCACCTCCAGCGTGACTTTGAACACAGTCACCAGCAGGGCCCCACACACCCACAGATGCAGTGCCTCTGCCACTGTGGTGAACACCTGCAGGGAGGCAGGCCCCCAGACACCCACTAGCACTCTGTCACAGCTGCCACACCTCCAGCCCCCCAAGGACAGTGGATTCCTAACCTTAAGGAGCCAGAGAACCAAGTCAGGGACTTGTATAAGTTCCCCCAGAGTTAGAGCACACAGTCCAGGTGTTGGGAGCTGAGCACTGACCACCTAAATTTTTCCAGAAATGAAGCCAGTTGGCTGAATCCACCTTATACCACAATCAAACCCTCAAGATCATCCAATAGGATAAAAGAAAATAAAAATGTATCCAAAAGTCAGCAACCTCAAAGACTGAAGGTGGATATGCCCACAAAGATGAGAAAGAACCAGTGCAAAAGTCATGAGAACAAAAAGGGCGCCCTCATTCCTCCAAACAACCGCAGCACCTCTTCAACAGGGGTTCTGAATGGGGCTGAGATGGCTGAAATGACAGAAACAGAACTCAGAATATGGAGAGTGAAAATGTAGATGAATACAGCTATTTATGGAGAATACTATAAATGTTCCTCAAAAAATAAAGAAACAAAATCTACTGTAGAATCCAGCAGTCTCACTACTGGCTATGTATCCAAAGGAAATGAAATCAACATGTCAAAGAGATATCTGCACTCCATGTTCATGTTCATTGCAGCATCTTTTAAAATAGTAAAGATATGGAAACATCCTAAATTCCCATGAATGGATGAATGAATAAAGAAAATGCATACAGACACAACAGAGTAATGTTCTTCCTTAAATAAGAAGGAAACCCTGCCTCTGTGACAGCATGCCTGAATCTAGAGGACCTTATGCTAAGTGAAACAAGCCAGGAACGGAGGAAGAGTAATTCAAGATTTCACTGTAGTATATTAAAGCAGTAGACTTGCAGAGATAGAGTAGAATGTTGGTTACCAGGGGCTGGAGGGGTGGACTGGGAAAGGGAGATGTGGGTTAAAGTGCACAATGTTCCAGTTAGACAGGAGGTATAAGTTATGCTTTTCTAATGCACAGCATGTCAACTATAGCTGATCAGGTGGTATATATTTCAAAATTACTAAAAAAAAACATTAAAATTTCCCCACTAAGAAATGATAAATTTGTGAGGTGATGAATATAAGTGGCTTGAGTCACCCAGTTCATAATGTATACATGTATCATAACTAAACAACATATGTCATAAATATATGCAAAAATTATTTGTAATTTCTAATAAAATAAGTTTCATATTTAAATAATTACATTAAGAAAATGAACAGAACCTTTCCGATTTCAAGAATATTATATATATAATATATCTTAAAACAAACTTGCAACAGAATATAGAAATAAGTTTTACGACTCAATAGAAAAGAATAGAATTCAATAAAAACTGGCTAAAAGAAACAACAGCTGTATCATTATAGAAAATTCTGGAATAATCAGCCATATAAAGATTCTCACTCTCTTAGAACTAGAATTCTGTAGGACCTGCAATTCCTCCTGAACTGGGTGGGAGGCACAAGGAAGAACAGCTAATGGTGATTCAGTGAATTTTATATCTGTGTGTACTTCTGTGCTCACTCAGCAGAAAGAAAAGAAGAAAAGAAAGAAAGAGAGAAAGAAAGAAACAGAAGAAAGAAAAAGAAAGAAAGAAAGAAAGAGAGAGAGAGAGGGAGGGAGGGAGGGAGGGAGGGAAGGGACAGCAGAAGTCATTGTGGTGTGTGTGAAAGCACAATCCTTGGACTCCCCCACATCCTTCTGTACTCCAGTCCCATCAATGTCCAGCAAATACATTTTCTAACATGAAGTATTTTAAACTTTCTAAATCCTGCTAGAAACCCCCTCAGCTCTTTCAATTTTGCTCTATCACTTGAATTATTGAATTAAATCTAGTTTTTGTGGGCCTATCAATACCATAAGCCAAAATAACACATGAAGAAATTGCACTGAGACACAAGAAAACCTTCTGAAAGCTCCATAATTTCAGATCTGCATTCTTATTTCCCCAAACCTAAATCACTAAATAGAGACTCAGAACAAGTTGATCTTGTTCCCGAACGTGCACAGAGCCAAGGACATCCTGTCTGTCTGCAACAGCTCAGGTTTGTTCCTGTTTCTCCTAGAGGATATAAAATCTTGATTTAGGGAAAAACAGCTAGGGACACCCTGGGCTTTGTTCTTCTCTTCCCTGGAGGCAGGATGTCCTTCAGAGCTTTGTCCCAGTGGGTAACACAGCTGCTGAGGTGTACAACCCAGGTGGCCTTGTTTTGGTCACTTTTGCATGGTGAGCCTGCTTTGCACCATGGCCTACAATATGCGTGTGTAACTAATCTGTCTCCATCTTCAAAATGACATTATTCCACATCAAATCTAGTGCAGGTGCCTTACACAGAACATTCTCAATTACCTCCATCATTCATAAAATTGATGCCATTAATTTCAAGTATACATACATCAGACTCATTTAACGTATTGTTATTCTCATTGTTTGAAACATAACTTTTAGATCAAATAAATTAACAATAATAAAAATATAAATTTTGAAGTCAGGTAATGTGATTTCTCTAGTTGTGTTCTCTTTGCTCAGAATGGCTTGGGCTATTCTGCATCTTTTGTTTTTCCACATATATTTTAGGATTTTTTTTAATTTCTGTGAAGAATATCATTGTTGTTTTCATAGGGATTGTATTGAGTCTGTAGATTGCTTTAAGTATAATGGACATTTTAACAATATTGACTCTTTGAATTCATAAACATGGAATATTGTTCCATCTTGTGTCCTCTTTAATTTCTTTCATCAATGTTTTATAGATTTATTGTAGTTTTTTTTACTTTGTTCATTACACATTGTATGCCTGTACCAAAACATCACATATACCCAACAAATAGAAATATATATACTATTATGTGCTTATAACAATTAAAAATTATGTATGTATATTGAATCTATTCAAAATCAGAAACTATTTCTTTTTACTATTTGTAAGGTCTTGTCTCTAGGCTATAAAAAGAATTTGTAAAACTCAACAGAAAGCATAATATAAACAGAATTCTAAAATGACTGAAAATCTGAACAAACACCTCACCAAGAAAAAATGTTATCTGAAAATAAGAATATAGACAATTGTTCAGTATCGATTGTCATAAACCGATATTCATAATTACCAAACACAAAAGTAAACATGATGTATTTCAACAGAATTGATTCTCAAATATTTGTATACTCACACAGTGGAATACTATTCAGTCATAAAAACTTATGGGTTATTAATTCAGAAAACAACATTTTAACATTTTTTCTAAGTGAAGGAAGATGGACAAAAGAGACTAAGTATTGTACAATTCCATTCATGAGACCTGCTAAATACAGTAAAATTAAAAGGATTTAAAAAACAGGTTTGTGATAGGCAGGGCTTTTGGGGAAAGACAAGAGACTGACTTGGCAAAGCTCAGGGGATAGTTTTAGGGTAAAACAAACGTGTGCCATTGTGATATGCCTAATTAATTATTATATTTGTTCAGAGTTAATAGTGTACGTTTCAACCAACTTGGTGATTTTATATTTTCTATTTGCTGATAGAGACATGTTCATTTTTGTCAATCACTTTGCTAAATGTGGCTGAGAGGCTGTTGACATGAACGCTGAGTAAATGTATTCACCAAGTCTACAAGAGCAAATTATTTGCCAATTGCTGATTGAGTGGGGTCAATAATGTATATGAGATTGGGCGTGGGGATGTTATTGTGTGAGATCATGATGTTTAGACCACGACACTCTCTGGTGAGGGATCACTCATTCATTGCACATTTAATGAAAGGCAGGTAGGAGGAGCAGAAGGGCATGAGTCACTCTCCTGACCACAGCCACAGGTTATTGAAGGCAGAACTGATGTAATCCCCTCAGGTAGACCAGCGCCCCTCAAAGGTGACTTTATCCTAGAGTTGACACACATCCTGGGACACCAAAGACAACTCCTTCTCTCCCCTTTCTCTGCACTTCAGCTGGAAAAAACTTTCTCACCGAGCACCTTGTGTTAGGGAATGAGAGTTCCTGTCCCAGGTGTGAGGGCCCAGGTGCATCCACTTGATTCAGCACGAGAGCAAGAACAGCCTTCCAGAAAATGACATCACCTGAGGTATAACCAGCTTTCACCTGCTGCAGCTTCCTCTGAATAAAAAGGAAACTGTTGAAACTTCCTCAAAAGTGTCCTGCTGTGCCATTCCCTTTGTCCCTACGTGTTCAGTTGTGTCTGTCCAGATGCCACTTTTATGTAGGGAGATTAGGGTTCTGCTTCCAGTACCAGAACACACATGACCTCTTAGGAGACTTCAGGGTTTTGATCACATATATGATGATCTTAAAAGTCATTAGCTCCATTTCTACATCAAAAAACATCTGAACCAGAGGGGCACAGAGGCTCATGCCTGTAATCACAGCACTTTGGGAAGTCAAGGCAGAGGAATCACTTGAGGTCAGGAATTTGAGACCAGCCTGGTGAACATGGTGAAACCCCGTCTCTACTAAAAAATATATACAAAAATTAGCCAGGTGTGGTGGCACTAGCCTGTAATCCCAGCTACTTGAAAGGCTGAGGCAGGAGAATTGCTTGAACCCAGGAGGTGGAGATTGAAGTGAGCTGAGATCACACCACTTCACTCCAGCCTGGGCGACAGAGTGAGGCTCCATCTCAAAAGAAAAATTTATATATATATATATATGTGTGTGTGTGTGTGTGTGTATATATATATGTGTGTGTGTATATATATATATGAGATCTCCAAACCATCTAAATATCCAAAGCATATATATATATATATCTGCATTCTTATTTCCCCAAATAGAGTGATTATCCAACCATATCCAAACCATATATATATATATCTCCAAACCATCTAAATATCAAGTATTTTTTAATCCATCTAAGAACTGAAATTGCTGAAAAAACTACTCCCTCCAAAAGCTGTAGAGATAGGCACATCCACAATTACAGCAGAGACTTGCTGACTTGGAAGAGAAGCTCCTGGAAACACATTGGTGAGAACACTTACCTGGTGATTACGCTGAATGTCTGGAGGACAAGTGTGGACTAGGGGGAAGGTGAGCGCTCCTAGAGGCTGTACACCCCACACTTGTGTGGACTTGCCCTCCAGGGCCTTCAGGTTCTCATGGAAGCGATTAAAATAGATTCCCTATAGCCACGAACTGGGGAGGAGTAATCACTGAGAAAAAATGCACAAAAAGACTTTTCTAGAAAGCTCATCCGAGGGAAGGTGTTCTCTAAAATCTTAGTTTATGTGGGGGAAGGAAGTACTTCCATATTACAGACCCCTCCTCCTCAGCCTTCCTCTATCATGCAAATGATAAAATTAGCCAAGAGGAGTCAGACTCAAGGTGGTAGCCCTGGGTGCAGCATCTGCGGAAGGGAGGAAAGAGAGAAAATCAGCTGTATCACTGGAGATTCCTTGTAAAGGTGCTCAGGTGAAGAGGGCAACCAAACCAGGGAGAGTCAACTGTAAGAACATACCATGCTCCCCTGCCCCACACATTACCTCCTCAACAGCATCATTAATGTGGATTAAAGAGGTCAGTGTGATTGCTTTAGATCTGTTTGAGAAAGAAAGTCACATGCTGAGGCCTAGGGTCAGGGTCGGCAGCACTTCCCATGAGTAAGATACTATGAAGAAGGAAACATTAGGGGCCCATAACTGTGAAAATCAGCCACAGTGTGTGTGAGTATGTTTGTGTTTGTGCTTCTGTATGTTTGAGTAGGAGTTATTGAAACAGTGGACGTGGAGTGAGCTTTAATCCACATCCATCTGCAGCTTCAGGTATTCTCAGATGCAGTATTTGTCTGCAAGAGCCAAATTGAGAAAAGAGCCACCTCCAACCCCCCCCAGAGTTTTAGCCTCCCTTTGTTTCCAGTGATCCAGTGCATCTAGACCTCCAGGAAAGGGACTCCCTGGTGATTTTAGTGATTCTTCTCTTGGAGCCTCCCTGAAGAGGACATTGGGTTTCCAAAGGCCCATTCACTATTTCAAGAGGTGGTGTCATCCGCTCATGTTGTCACTGAAGGAGCATTCTGAGCCAGGGCACAGTCACTTCCTAGTGAGCTACAGAGGCTGAGAGAAAAATGCTCTGTGAGACCCAACAGGAAGCTCCCTGCAGTGCAAGGTGTGGGTGGCAGGGAGCGCTCGGGCCTCCCCGCAGCACAGACTTGCAGCCCAAGAGCAGGTGCACAGGAGGCTGGGGAGGGGTTCCTCCCAGGGGTTGATGTCTTCCTTTTCTTGAACAAACATGCTTTAATAAGTTAAACAAGAATTTAGTAAAGACTATTTGTAGGATTTATCTAACCTAACAAGTCAATGAGAATCACATTTAAAAGGAGAAATTTCTAGGATTTTCAGATATCTTAATAGTTAGGAGATGGAGAAAAGGGATAGTTTTATTAATTCAGTGCTTGCCAATCTTAGCAGAGACAGTAGTAAGACAGGCAGAAAGCAAAGCCCAGAAAAGTATGAAGGTGTCAAAGTGCCATTTAAGTATGGGTTCACTTGGAGGACCATGTTTTGTGGGAACTTGTTTTCAGCAGAGACAATTTATTTTAGCAGAGTTCTGGGCATACAAGGGGACACACATCATTAAACAAGGATTAGGACAGGGCTTCAGCGTCCCACTGTTGCATGGCCCATAAATAATGTGTGTTCTCTTTCTCATCTTGGATCAAGTCTAGAGCTATGAAGCTATGAAATAGTACCCCTCATGAATATGCAAATAACCTGAGATTTACTGAAGTAAATACAGATCTGTCCTTGCCCTGAGAGCATCACCCAACAACCACATCCGTCCTCTAGAGAATCCCCTGAGAGCTCAGCTCCTCACCATGGACTGGACCTGGAGGATCCTCTTCTTGGTGGCAGCAGCTACAGGTAGGAGGCTCCCTAGTCCCAGTGATGAGAAAGAGATTGAGTCCAGTCCAGGGAGATCTCATCCACTCCTGTGTCCTCTCCACAGGTGCCCACTCCCAGGTGCAGCTGGTGCAGTCTGGGGCTGAGGTGAAGAAGCCTGGGGCCTCAGTGAAGGTCTCCTGCAAGGCTTCTGGATACATCTTCACCGACTACTATATGCACTGGGTGCGACAGGCCCCTGGACAAGAGCTTGGGTGGATGGGACGGATCAACCCTAACAGTGGTGGCACAAACTATGCACAGAAGTTTCAGGGCAGAGTCACCATGACCAGGGACACGTCCATCAGCACAGCCTACACGGAGCTGAGCAGCCTGAGATCTGAGGACACGGCCACGTATTACTGTGCGAGAGACACAGTGTGAAAACCCACATCCTGAGAGTGTCAGAAACCCCAGGGAGGAGGCAGCTGTGCTGGGGCTGAGAAATGAAAGGGATTATTATTTTTAATGTTGTTTACAGTATGTCATTAATAAATTGAAAAAAGTAACAATAGAAGTATATACTCTAATTATATGGGAAGTTTGTTTTTTCAGTTTTTTGGTGTTTTTTTTTTTTTTTTTGGTTTGTTTGTTTGTGACAGAGTCTCACTCTGCCACCCAGGCTGGAGTGACACGGCAAAGTCTCAGCTCACTGCAACCTCCACCTCCCAGGTTCAAGCAATTCTCCTGCCTTGGCCTCCAGAGTAGTTGGGATTACAGGCACCCGCCACCACGCCCGGCGAATTTTTGTATTTTTAGTAGAGACGGGGTTTCACCATGTTAGCTAGGCTGGTCTCGAACTGCTGATCTCAGGTGATCTACCCTCCTCAGCCTCCCAAAGTCCTGGGATTACAGGTGTGAGCCACTGCGCCTGGCCCAATTATATGGGAATTGTTTATATAATTATCACCCTATAAGCAAAATTCATGGAGGAGGAAAAGCTCTACTGAAGAAAGCTGATACCGGCATTCCCATGAAAGTATCTGTGTAGAAGTAAGTATTAAAATCAGTTGAATAGGTGAGGCACGGTGGCTCATGCCTATAATCCCAGCACTTTGGGAGACCGAGGCAGGTGGATCACAAGGTAAGGAGTTCAAGATCAGCCTGGCCAAGATGGCGAAACCCCTTCTCTACTAAAAATACAAAGAATTAGCTGGGCGTGGTGGTGGATGCCTGTAATCACAGCTACTTGGGAGGCTGAGGCAGAGAATTGCTTGAACCAGGGAGGCGAAGGTTGCAGTGAGCCGAGATCGCGCCACTGCACTCCAGCCTGGGTGACAGAGCGAAACTCCATCTCAAAACAAAACAAAACAAAACAAAACAAAAAAATCAGTTGAATAAAGTACCTTAGAGTCATCTGTTCAATTAACATGTTTAACTCCAAAGAAATCATGAAAATATTTTCCAAAAAGGAAGTGCCATTTTATGTTCCTACCAACAGTGAATAAGACTTTCTTTTCTGGAGCCTTGTCAGTATTCACCAATGCTTTGCTGTGCAGCCATTGTAATATTATAGTAAATGAGTAGCAGTATTTAATGGTTGTTTAAATATACATATTCCTAATACAAAGTCTTGATGAACACTTTTTTATACATTGTTTTACGAGGTGCGTGTTCAGATCTATGTATGCCAGAAATGCCTGGCAGCATTAATTTAAGCACACTGTGAGAATGACCCTATAGTTTAAGAAGAATGTATGTTCAGAGCTCTGAGCTAAGAAATCCAGGAGCTGTCCACCCAGAAGTTTATTCCTTGTCTGTGAAGGACGTCTGAAGCCCTGGCCTATCCCTTGGAACACAGGATGTCCAGGTGATTGAGGCTCTTTGTTAAATCTGGAGGTTGCTAGGTAGAGGGTGCTAAGTGAAAATCATAATATAAACTACACATGTTTTACAAATGGTAGTGGTTTTCCTGTCCAACACACTCTTCCTGGGCCACATTGTATGGAAGTCCTCAATACACCCTAGATCTTGTTCATGGGCTCCAGGTCTCCTCTTTAGCCTTTTGGACATGGTGCCACGCCTATTACAGTCAATAGGGGTCTAGCATGACAATTGGGAGGCCCAGAACAAGGTCAAAGAAAATCCCACAAGTTCTTAGACAACGGTGTCAAGGAAGGGGAGACCTGTGGGGAAATCCCAGGCAGGCCATGCACATCTCTGTGGGCCCAACAGCTGCAATCCTTGATGGATAGGGCCTGCTGCAAGTGTACAGGGATGCCTCCAAAATGCCAAAAGTTCTGGAGGACCTGTTGCCTGAGGTGGATGTGACAATGTGACAAAGTGACAGTCAGATGCCTGAGCTGTCGCAGCTGTTGGCCACTCCTGACTGCACTCTGAGCAACCACTGAGGCAGAGCTCACTGCACAGGCTAGGGTGTGTCAGCCACAAGAACAGCTGTAACTATAATGAGATGCCGCCTGCAGGGATAGGATAGCAAATTGGAGACCATTGTTTATTTGGTAGGCCATTTAAAGTGTTGCCGACTGCCACACCAATGCGTTAGGACTATTATGACTACATCGTCCTGGAAGCCTAAGTCCTGGTGTCCGATGTAGAGCTCCAGTGGGAAGGAGATGAAGGTTAGGATGACTCCATAAAGGTTCTTGCCCTGCAGCCCCTGCTTTGCTGTCTCACTTGGTGAACAGAGGATGGGGGGGTCAATGCAGACAAAGTCCAGGGTCTAGGCTTATCAGTCAAATACTTGGTGTCATCTGGTTACATAAGACTATAGTTATTCCATATTTCATTATAGATAAGATAAGATGCAGGTCTACTCATGTCCCAACACACCAAAGCAGTTGGAAACCTTCCAAGGCCTCCTGGGACATTGGCGATCCTTTATTCCCCATTTCGGCAAACTCCTTAGGCCCCCATGGCACTTAGTCAAGAAGGTGCCCCACTGCGACTGTTCCAAAAGGGAGGATGAGGGCTCTGAAGAAGCTAAAGTCACAGTGAAATGAATACAAACCTTGGGAGTTCTAGTGCAGGGACAGCCCTGTGAATTGGATGTAGTCAGTTACCCTGAGGGGTTTAGGTGGGGACTGTGTTAAAGGCAAGGACATAAGTGTGTGTCCCTAAGACCCTGGTCTCAAAGACAGAAGGAAGCTGAAGTGAGATATACTGTTTAGGAGTAACAACCGCACTACATGTCATGCCTTACAAGTGGAGGATGTGACAGAGGGCCACTCCACATCCAGAACAACCTTTAGCAGGCTGGCTAAAGGATGCCTTCCAGACACAAAAGCCTTGGAATACCAGGACACAGTCTGTAGCCAAATGGTACTTGTGGTGGTCACCACCAACATAAAAGTGGGCCAACTGTGCCAGCAGAAGTTAGCCCCACAGAACTTTCCCCCACCTAAGAGAAGGCAGTGAACCACGATGTGGGATGCCACCACTGTGGAATTGGGGGAGCTTAGACTTGGATTCAGACACAAGGGGAGAGAGTGGATCACAGGGTGGCTTCTCTATGGGACAGGGGGTGGAGAGTGTTATACTTTCTGGACTCAAGATGAGTAAAATGGCACCCATCACAAACCATCCAGCCCTATGATGGCACCTTTATGGTAAGTGGTTGCAGGCTCCAGCGGGGCCAGGTCCAATGAGGAAGATGCCCACACAGCTCCTTCTCAATGGCAGACTATAGAAGAGTTGCAGGACATCTTCTGGGAGTTGAAATGAGGCATGCTAATTATGCTGAGAATTATTGAAGTCCCAACAATGAATTGTTTACTGCAAAATAAAAGCTACAATTATGTATTCAGTGCCTACCAAATGGCATGGTGCACTGATTTCCATGTTAAGCCCCCTGGGAGGGCAGCCAACATTTCATGTGCCCCAGGTAGTTGCTGACTTAGGAGAAAAGAAGAAACTGAGTAAGCAAGGGATGCACCCTACTGTGATGAAAAACAATGGCACCAAAGGAAGAGAGACAGCCAAGGAGCCAGTCAGCGTGGCCAGACAACAAATGTGCTCTAACTGGCAACACCTACCAGTTATCTGGGCCCATAGCAGCAATAGGTGATTATGGAAGGGCCACAGAAGTCAGACAGGTTGAACTAGTGATACGACCTGGGGGACTGCCACCCAGACCCTGTTTAGTATACATAGCTTCCATCTTAGAACACATGAGAATGGATATCTTCTTAGGCGTGACCCTCCAAACAACTGCCAGGGAATTCCAACTGAGAGTTAAAGTGGTGACGCATGTGACCAAGCAGAAGGCAAACTGGATGCCGGTAGAGCTGCCAACCCATGGGGAGTCCCACAGCTGGAGCAACACCACCCGCCCTGGGGAGGGGAAGATGATCCAATCATGAAGATTGTTAAGGAGTTAGCCCAGGTAGGCATTAGGAGGCCACTGCACAGTTCCTACAACAGACCTGCATGGCCCATGCAGAGGCCAGTTGGGACATGGAGAATGACAGTAGATTACTGGGAGTTAAATAAGGTGGTCTCCCGAGTGAATGCAGCTGTTCCTAATATCTCCTCCAGTCTGACGAGAATAGGAGAGGTGTTAGCCACATAGCATTTCGTTATCAGTTTAGTCAATACCTTCTTCAGCATTTCTGCTGCCCCACATTCAAGATCAATTTGCATTAACCTAAAAAGAACAATGGACTTTTACTGTCTTGTTCCAGGGATATTTACACAGCCCAACTCTCACAGCCTAGTGACCTCCAACCTCAGTTGATGGGCTGACCCAAAGGGGATACATGTTTTCCACTACATTGGTGTTATCATGGTAACTTCTGAGTCTTTTTTCAGCTTATAAATTGCAGCCCCTGTCTTGCTGTCTCACTTGCTGAACAGAGGATGGGAGGTTAATACAGACAAAATCCAGGGTCCAGGCTTATCAGTCAAATAGTTGGTGTCATCTGGTTTGGTAAAACTAAAGTCATTCCATCTGCCATCATAGATAAGGTGCGGGCTTACCCATGTCCCACCACAACAAAGCAGCTGCAAGCTTTCAAGGCCCTCTGGAGCATCAGTGTCCTTTTATTCCTTTTATTTGACATCCCTGGAGGAGGCTGCTAGGGGAGACTGTGTCCCTCCTAAATTCATGTGCTGAAGTCCCAACCCTTGGTCCTTCAGAATGAAATCATACTTGGATTAGTGTCTTTTAAAGAGCTAAATAAGTTAAAGTGAGATTCCTGGAGTGGGGCCCTAATGCAATCTGACTGTTGTTATAAGAAGGGGAAGCAGGAGGGGGGGTGCACACGCCCCGAGGGACGGCCATGTTACCACAGAACAGCGAGAAGGCGCCATCTGCACGCCAGGGAGCGAGACCTCAGAGGAAACCCACCCAGCTGGCAGCTTGATCTTAGGCTTTCATCCTCCATAAGTGTGAGGAAATTGGTTTTGTATTGTAAGCCATCCGATCTGTGGTATTTTGTCATAAAAGCCCTATAAAATGAATACAGTAGGTAATAGGAGAGCTTCTATACATTGAAAAAGTCGGATGGCCAGACAAACCTGGACACTCCTGTTCAGACCTGAGCAGGGTGATGGACCTGCTTTGGGACAGGAGAGGGGAAGAGATGAACCCAGCACCCAGACCCAGCTGAGCCCATTCCTCAGCAGGCTGTCCCTGGGCCAGAGCTTGCACAGGCAGGAAAGAGCCTGTCTTGGTCTTCAGGGGCTCGTGGAGTTGGACGGAGAATGGTGTAGACTCAAGAACATGTCATCGTTGTGCCCGTGTTTATGTGAATGGGATGTGTTTCTAGGGTGTGCTCATCCCCAGAGAAGAATTAATCAGGTCTCCTGGGCTAGAAAGAGGTTGTGGCATTTGTGTGTATTAATAACTGTAGTCGGACAGTAAATTATGTTAAAATGCTTATGGGAAGGCACAATGGAAAGAAACACTTTGTTACAGAAGGGAAAAAAAGGTAATTATTCAAATGAGATGCCTTTGAAGGTCACTATGCCAAGAGGAGCCGATCGCATGATAGTGTTAGGTTTCACGTTCAGGAGATCAGGAGGGTCCGTCTGCTGGCTTTTATGATACCCTAGACAGAGCTGAGAGTATAATGTATGAATGGAGGGGAGTGGAGAAAGGGGAGGCCAAATGTTTGATGGGAATGGAGGGTCACTATTGGAGCCATTAGGAAATACACAAGCATGATTTGTGCTGAAGCACAGAACAGTGTTCCTGGGGAATATTGTGTTGCTTTGGGAGCTGCTGAACATACAGGAGTTTCACTGTTCTTAGTTCTCGAATTCTCTAGACTCTCTTGACAGCCCAATTTTAAATATTGGGAATATAGGTAAGACACATTCATGGTTAAAAATTCTTAAGTGAAGATGTAGGAAGAAATTTAAAGTAATCAATTTAGGTTATGAAAATTTAGTTATGGTGAACTGTGATGTCTGTTTCTCACATGGAATAATGGAATATAAGTAATTACTCATCTCAGTGGTTCATTTTCCCATAGCCATCAATTACAAAACTGCTGGATAATTTCCTGAATTGTCCACCCTAGAAGTTGACCTCACATTACCTCAGTGAGAAACCGCTAGTCTGGTTGATCCAGCCTCATTCTTCCCATCAGGAATTTTGTGTCTCTGTGCACATATGGCATAGTCCTGGTCAGGGTGGCAGAGGGAAGGAACTGAAGAGGGCATTGTCAGACCATTCTTCAGAGGAGGAGTGGAGAAGAATTGTGTCCCATTTCCCAGTTGGCTGTGTATCTGCATATGGCCTCGGGATTGCTGCCAGCCTATCCATGCATGATGAAGCTTATTTAGGGGACGAAGCCAGCATGCTGAGTGTTCAGTGCCGACAGCCAAGAGAATCAACTGCCTGGTGCATGCTGCTTTTATGAAAACAAGCCCAGGGCCACTTGCATTCTTCTGTATTAGATTCTCTAGTGAAGTTGTTTCTTCATTTCTGCTGAAACTGCCACATATAATTACCTAGAGGCATTACAATAAACTGATTGAGAGTTAACTGACTTCCTGGTGAGGTTAAAATGAGTGTCAGGTGCACAGTAAGACAGACAGGAGACATGGGAGCATAGCAAGCTTGTGTTCACCATGGTTTGTACCTTAACTTCTGTTTTGTACCTTCTGTACCTTCCTTAGATGTTCAGGCACTCCATTGAGGAGCCTGACAGAACATTATTTATTGATGGACCATAGCTCAAAATATAGAAATGGATATTACCGAGGAGAATATACTGTTACTACTTTATCTTTATCTTAAAATATACTCTTCCATCTGAGGTGAAAATTAATCCAGATGGTAGAACTTATTGCAGTTACTACAGCATTTTAGGAAATCAAAAGCTGCAGAACAAACATATGGACAGATGGCAGGTATGTTTTTGGAATCGTAAACAACTTTGCGATGATTGTAAAACCAAGGGGTGTCTCACAAGGGCTGGAAACCTCTCAAAATGAAACAACACACTGAGGATCTTTGAGAAGTACTCTGACCTCCAAGCGAGCTGGCTGATATGGAGGCTGAGCTACATGTAGAAAGCCAAAGGAATTTCTGCAGGACATCATCATGCCAAGCACAGCAGTAAACTGAGTCCCAGCCCTTTTCACACGCTCAATGGTTAGATCTTGGGAAGGAATCAAAGAAGCCATTGTAAAATATCAAAATTTAAACCCTGATTTTGAATTTAAAATGTGTTAACATATGGTTGTGGCCTACACTCAGAAAATCTGTCTCCTTCAGATGGTGTCTCAGTAGCACCACATGGTTTCAAGTGGCTATTCATTAAATTTCTCCATGAAACTACCAGATACAGAATAGATAAATTGTCACTGTCTTAAATCAACCCTTGGGAAAGGAAAACTGTGTAAAGACAGCAGAGAGGAAACATTGTTCAAGGGAAAAACAATCTCCAGAAACTGTTGTTAAAGAAACAGAGGCCCTCTTTCCAGCCAGTGCCGAGCGATGGACATCTCTTGGGACAACTGGCACAAGTGCCACAAAACCAGGGACAAGAGAAAGCCCTACCACAAGAAGCGGAAGTATGAGTTGGGGCACCCAGCTGCCAACACCAAGACTGGCCCCCGCCGCATCCACACAGTCCGTGTGTGGGGAGGTAACAAGAAATACTGTGCCCTGAGGCTGGACGTGAGGAATTTCTCCTGGGGCTCAGAATGTTGTGCTCATAAAACAACGATCATCGATGTTGTCTACAATGCATCTAATAACGAGCTGGTTCGTCCCAAGACCCTGGTGAAGAATTGCATTGTGCTCATTGACAGCACACTGTACCGACAGTGGTACGAGTCCCACTATGCGCCGCCCCTGGGCTGCAAGAAGGGAGCCAAGCTGACTCCTGAGGAAGAAGAGATTTTGAACAAAAAGCGATCTAAAAAAATTCAGAAGAAATATCATGAAAGGAAAAAGAATGCCAAAATCAGCAGTCTCCTGGGGGAGCAGTTCCAGCAGGGCAAGCTTCTTGCATGCATTGCTTCAAGGCCAGGACAGTGTGGCTGAGCAGATGGGTATGTGCTAGAGGGCAAAGAGTTGGAGTTCTATCTTAGGAAAATCAAGGCCCGGAAGGGCAAATAAATCCTTGTTTTGTCTTCACCCATGTAATAAAGGTGTTTATTGTTTTGTTCCAAAAAAAAAAGAGAAACAGAGGCATCACACTTACTAGAAAAACATATTCTATTTCATATATTATGGTGGTATGACGTGATGTTTTGACATATGCAGGCATTGTGAAATTATTAAATCAAGTAAATAAACATGCCCATCACCTCACATACTTATTTTTTATGGTGTAAACGTGTAAAATCTACTCTATTATCAGTTTTCAAGTATATAGTACATTAGTACCATGGAAGTCACCCTGCTGTGCAATAGATCTTCAAACTAATTCCTTCTGTCAAACCAAAACTCTGTACCCTTTCACCAATGCCTCAGCTTTCACATGCCCCTGACACCAGCCCCTGGTTGGCACCATTCTTCTCTCTACTTCTCTGAGTTCAACATTTTTAGATTGCATGTGTAAGTGAGATTATGGAGTAATTTTTTATACCTGGCTTATTTCACTTAACATAAAGAGTCAAATGCTCAACATCACTAATCATCAGGGAAATGCAAATTAAAACCACGATGAGATATCACCTCACACATGTTACAATGGCTTAGTCTCAGTCTGTCTTTGTGTTACTATAACCGAATACCAGAGACTGGGCAATTTCTAAAGAAAAGGAATTTATACTTTATGGTGCTTGAGTCAGAGAAGTCTAATATCAAGGCACTGACATCTCACAAGGGCCTTCTCACTGTGTCGTCTCACAGCAGAGGTGGGTGAGCAAGAGATCATTTGTCCACGAGAGAAAGGAGACTATCTTTTATTAGAAATTCACTCCTGTAATAACTAACCCACTCCAATGACAGTGACATTAATCCATTCATGAGGACAGAGCCTTCATGACCTAATCACATAATAAAGGTCCCACCTCTCAACACTGTTGCATTAAAGATTTTTTCCAAATCCTAAACTTTGGGAGACACATTTAAGTCATAGCATTCCATTCCTAATATCAAAATTTATGTCCTTATCACAATGCAAACTACATTCATTCCATCCCAATTGTCTCCAAAGTCTTATCCAGCATCAGTGCAAAAGTCTGAAGTCTAAAGTCTCATCTAAATCAGATGTGAGTGTGACTCAAGGCACAATTTAGCCTGATATAAATTTTTTCCATCTGTGAGCCTATAAAGTCAAAACAAGTTATCTACTTTCAAATACAGTGAACAATGGGGCAGGTATGGGATAGAAATTCCCATTCCAAAGCTCAGAGACAGGGAAGGAGAAAGCAGTGCCTAGTTCAAAACCCAACAGAGGAAAAAAACATTAAGTCTTATAGCTGAGACTTAATGTTTTTTTCCCTTGTTGGGTTTTGAACTAGTTCAACCATTGTAGAAGTCCTTGTGGTGATTCCTCAGGGATCTAGAACTAGAAATACCATTTGACCCAGCCATCCCATTACTGGGTATATACCCAAAGGACTATAAATCATGCTGCTATAAAGACACATGCACACATATGTTTATCGCAGCACTATTCACAATAGCAAAGACTTGGAACCAATCCAAATGTCCAACAACGATAGACTGGATTAAGAAAATGTGGCACATATACACCATGGAATACTATGCAGCCATAAAAAATGATGAGTTCATGTCCTTTGTAGGGACATGGATGAAATTGGAAATCATCATTCTCAGTAAACTATCGCAAGAACAAAAAACCAAACACCGCATATTCTCACTCATAGGTGGGAACTGAACAATGAGAACACATGGACACAGGAAAGGGAACATCACACTCGGGGGACTGTTGTGGGGTGGGGTGAGGGGGGAGGGATAGCTTTAGGAGATATACCTAATGCTAAATGACGAGTTAATGGGTGCACACACCAGCATGGCACATGTATACATATGTAACTAACCTGCACATTGTGCACATGCACCCTAAAACTTAAAGTATAATAAAAAAAAAGTCTTATAGCTGGAAAATCATCCTCTTTGACGGCATCTTGTGCACACTGGGGAGGGGGAAGGGCCCCCAAGGCCTCCAGCAGTCTTGCCTCTATGGATTTTCTGGGTTCAGTCCACTCAGCCCCTCTCACAGGTGGGACTCTCAGGCCTCTAGCTCTCCTAGGCTGACTGGAAACTCTTTGTGGTGCCTCCAAACCCATATTTCTGCTTGGCATTGTGCTAAGGGTCCAGTGTGGTGACTCTGTCTCTGCAACAACTCACTGCCCGAGACCTTAGGCTGTCCACAGCATTCTTTGAAATCTAGGTGGAGAAAGCCATGCCCTCGTGGTATTCTGCACACCTGCAGAATTAGCAATACATGGATGCCATGGAAGTTGATGACTTGTACCATTAAAGTGATGGCTTGAGCCACACCTAGGTCCTCCTGAGCCACATCATGGGCAGCCAAGGAGTGCTGTGCCTGGACACAGGGAACAGAGTCCTAAAGTGCCTGCTAGAAGTGAGGCCATAGATTTGCTTCAAATTTCTCCCACCATATATCCTCACTCATGGCTCTGAACTTCCACTTTACAGAAAGACCTAGGGATGAGCACAATTCAGCCACATTCCTTGCCACTTTAAGGGAAGGATGGCCTTTGCTCCATTTTCCGATGAGCTATTCTTCTTTTTCTCCTGAGACCTCATCAGAACGGCCTTTATTGTCCACGGTTCTACCAACATTCTAATGATCATCACCTAAATAATCTCTAAGAAGTTTCAGAATTTCCTCACAGCTGTCTTCTTCTGAGTCCTCAAAAGAATACCCCTAGTGTTCTAGTCATGGCAATCTAGACTTTTTATAACCTGATCCTCCAAATTATTCCAGTCTCTGTGCATTACTACTTCCACTTCTACATTTTGGGATATTTGTTATCACAACAGCCCCACCTCTTGATACTGATTTTTTGTCTTAGTCCACTTTGTGGTGCAATGAGTGAATACCACACACTGGCTAATGTGTAAGGAAAAGAAATTTATTTTCTCCCAGCTCTAGAGGCTGGGAAGTCAATGTCAAGGTGCTAGCATCTGGCAAGAGCCTTCTTGCTGTGATGCCCATGTGGAAGGCAGGAGAGCATGTGCAAAGGATGGAAAGGGGGCTAAACTCATTTTTTAATGAGGAACCCAGGCCTGTAGTAACTAATCTGCTACCACAATAAGTAACCTACTCTGATGATAATGGCATTAATTGCTTCATGAGGGCAGAGCCCTCTCGGCCTAATCATTTCTTAACATTCTCACCTCTGGACACTATGGAATTTGGGATTAAGTTTCCAATACACACCCTTTCTAAACAGCAGGGGCTTTTTAATAGGTTTACCACCCAAGGCTGCAGGAGGCTCTGAAGTAGTGGGTGGCTGTCCTTTGTGAGAATGGAGAGAAGTGAACTGACTGATGGAGACACAAGTAGATGAAGTAAAGGCATTCATTGCTTCATTACATGGATGGTGAGGGCGATTGAAGGCATTAACGGATTAAAGATGGTGGCAAAACCATCTGAGGTGGAGACCACGGGGAGCCCATCAGAAATGGAGGACACGTCCCAATAAATGGTGCTTCATTTCCCTGCAAAGCAGATGAAAGCAAAGAAGAAAACACAATGCCATAGTGTACACTGAGCAGTGGATTGAGAGAAGAGTTTCCTAAGGCGTAACTGACAGAGTGGAGAAGACACACGAATCTTTGCATGGTGCTAACATTTGGACTGTGGCTTCATTATTTCTTATTAATATTTTACTGAAATATCACTAGAAGGAGACTGAAAATGAAGTGTGAAAAGTTAAATGGGATTTCTGCTCTAAGTCCTTTTCAGATGAGAGGAACTGGGGAATTCCAGGGAAGAAACAATAATAGCTGCTGAGCAAGGCTTTTGCAGGGCAGGACAAGGAATCCCCAAAGAGAAAACGGAAACCTCAGCTTCACTTTGCATCTGCTCCTGAGCCAGGTCTTGAGCGACCCCTGTAGGTCCTGAGCGCCCCCGGTAGGTTCTGAGCATTCCGTGGTTGCTGGGCGCCCTCTGGTGGTGTCTGAGCCCTTCTGGTGGTTTCTGAGCCCCCCTCTTAGAGTCTGAGCCACCCTATTAGTGTCTGAGCCACCCTATTAGTGTCTGAGGACCCTGGTGGTGTCTGAGCACAGGTGAGCTCCTCTGAAGGAAGGGTCTACATGGGGACAGGCGTGCTTGTCTCAGGGAAGGGTCCACATGGGGACAGGTGAGCTCATCTGAGGGAAGGGTCCATGTGGGGACAGGTGTGCTTGTCTGAAGGAAGATTCCACATGGAGACAGCTGTGCTTGTCTCAGGGAAGGGTCCACATGGGGACAGGTGAGCTCGTCTGAGGGAAGGGTCCATGTGGGGACAGGTGTGCTTGTCTGAAGGAAGATTCCACATGGAGACAGCTGTGCTTGTCTCAGGGAAGGGTCCACATGGGGACAGGTGAGCTCGTCTGAGGGAAGGGTCCATGTGGGGACAGGAGTGCTTGTCTCAAGGAAGGGTCCTCACGTGGACAGGTGTGCTCTTTTGAGGGAAGGATTGACCTGGGGACAGGCATGCTTGTCTGAGGTAAGGGTCCACCTGGGGACAGGTGTGATTCCCTCAGGGAAGGGTCCACGTGGGGACAGAGGTGCTTGTCTAAGGCAAGAATCCACGTAGCGACAGGTGAGTTCGTCTCAGGGAGGGGTCCAGGTGGGGCGAGTTGTGCTTATCTGAGAGAAGCATCGAAGTGGGGACAGGTGTGCTTGTCTCAAGGAAGGGTCCACGTGGGGACAGGTGTGGTAGTCTCAGGGAAGGGCCCACATGGGGACAGGTGTGCTCATCCGAGAGAAGGGTCCATGTAGGGACAGGTGTGCTTGTCTCAGGGAAGGGTTCATGGGGACAGGTGAGCTTGTCTGAAGGATGGGTCCACATGGGGACTGGTGTGCTCCTCTGAGGGAAGGGTCCACGTGGTGACAGGTGAGTTTATCTGAAGGAAGGGTCCACATGGGGACAGTTATGCTCCTCTGAGGGAAGGGTCCATGTGGGGACAGGTGTGCTTGTCTCAGGGAAAGGTCCACGTGGGGACAGGTGTGCTCGCCTTGGGGAAGAGGACAGATGAGCTCATCTCAGGGAAGGGGCCACGTGGGGACAGGTGTGTTTGTCTCAGGGAAGGGTCCACATGGGTACACCTGTGCTCCTCTGAGCAAAGAGTCCACATGGAGACAGGTGTGCTTGTCTGAAGGAAGGGTCCACGTGGGGACAGGTGTGCTCCTCCAAGGGAAGGGTCCATGTGGGGACAGGTGTTCTTGTCTCAGGGAAGGGTCCACGTGGGGACAGGTGTGCCCCTCTGAGGGAAATGTCCACGTGGGGACAGGTGTGCTTGTCTCAGGGAAGGGTCCACGTGGGGACAGGTGTGCTCGTGTGGAGGAAGGTTCCACCTGGGGACAAGTGTGCTTGACTCAGGGAAGGGTCCACTTGGGGACATGTGTGCTTCTCTCAGAGAAGGGTCTACGTGGGGACAGGTGTACTCATTTGAGGGAAGGGTCCACGTGGGGACAGGGGGGCTCATCTGAAGGAAGGATCCACGTGGGGACAGGTGTCCTTGTCTCAGGGAAGGGTGCACGTGGGGACAGATGTGCTCATCTGAAGGAAGGATCCACGTGGGGACAGGTGTGCTCCTCTCAGAGAAGGGTCCACGTGGGGACAGGTGTGCTTGTTTGAGGGAAGGGTCCACCTGGGGACAGGTGTGCTCGTCTGAGGGAAGGGTCCACCTGGGGACAGGTGGGGTCATCTCATGGAAGGGTCCACGTGGGGACAGATGTGGGAGAGGGTGTGCCTGGTCTGAACTGGAGTTTGAGGGAAGAATTTCTCGAGCAAGTGTGAATCCTGAACATGACCTGTTTTTCAGGAAGGAAAGCAGACCACATGGAAGCAGATGAAGGAAAAAGCAGACCACGTGGGAGCCGGATGAAGGGAAGGTTTCTATGAAATTGAAACAGCCTATCTGCCAGTGGAGAAAGTTATTTCATCCTTTTTTGCCTGCAGTGAGAAAGGGGGAAATCAGAGCCACAGAGAAGAGAATGAAATGTCCCTGAGGACATCTGAGAATTAGAGAAAAGAAAGCCTCAGATTCTAAGGAGAAGTCCTCGCCACTTCCCATCTGAGCCTGCTCTTCAGTGGACCCAAGTGTCGAGTGCATCCTGCACATCTCAGGCCCCCAGGAGGGAGGGTCCTGTCTGGGTTCACACGGCATCCCCTCACTGTGTCTCCCACAGGAATACCTGGCTGTCCTGTGGGTTCCTGGAGCTCCGCCGCAGGGAGCGCTGCTTGTTGGATGAGTCTCTGGATGGAGATGAGGCTCTTGAGAGGCGGCGGTTGTTCGTGTTTCTCTTATAATCGATGCTCCTCAGCCAGTGCAACCCCTTGTCTAGGGGCCGGTGGACCGGGCCTCCGCAGTAACCACTGGCTGTGATGGAGAATCCGGAGTCGTGCCAGGTGAGGAAGGGGGCAGCCACGGCTTCTCCAGTCTTGAGCCTCACTCCTGCTGCTGCACCTGGGACAGGACAGCTGGGAACAAGAACAGTCAGTCCCTGTCAGTCATGGGACATCACAGTTATTGCCACAGCCCGTGTCTGGCCTCTGAGATGCTCACCTTCGGGAGGTGTCAGCAGGCACAGGAGAAGGCCCAGCAATCTCATCTTCTTCTGAACCCACCTTTGTCTTCCCCAGAGACACCGTCCCAGTCTGAGAAGTGACTGGATGCTTCCACAGCCCAGGGGTGGATTTTACCCCAGAGCTAAAACAAAAAATTACACGGGGTGGATGACTATTTATTTATTTATTTATTTAGAGACAGAGTCTCGCTCTGTCGCCCAGGCTGGAGTGCGGTGGTGCAATCTCGGCTCACTACAACCTCTTTCTCCCGGGTTGAAGCGATTCTCCTGCCTCAGCCTCCCTAGTAGCTGGGATTACAGGTGCCCAGCAGCATGCCTGACTAATTTTTGTAATTTTAGTAGAGACAGGGTTTTGTCACTTAGCCAGGCTGGTCTCAAACTCCTGACCTCATGTGATCTGTCTGCCTCGGCCTCCCAAAGTGCTGGGATTATAGGCATGAGCCACCGTGCCCAGCCTAGCTGACTCTTTTTATAAGTAGAAAAGTTAAGATATGGCCCCTACCTCCTGGTAGTTGAGCGTTGTGTAGAGTGCCTTTCCTCCTAAACTCATGTGGCACGCATGTCACTTGACATTTGGTGGTTGGAGGACACTTGGTCTGCGAGACAAATGGGAATAGGCAAAGGACAGCCCTGCCATTCTGATCCCAGGGCTACTTTCCTTCCAACCCCTCTTCCCTCCTGCCCTTCCTTGTTTCTAGCGCAGCTCCCCCTATCCACAGGCCCAGGTCTTGCTTCCTCAGTGCTGAGCCCAGCACAGCTCCTGGGCTCTTTCCTTGGGTCCCACCTGTGGTGTGGCTCTCCTCACCCATGGAGCTTTGGACAACATCACATTACTGTCTCAGGAGCTCTACGCCAGCCCTGCACTCTAACCCATTCTGTGATGCCAGAGACAAGGACCTCAGGACCTACCGGGGCTGGATAAAATAATGTTCTTTGATTTACTCAGGAACTAATTCTCAATAGTTGGGGGAAGAGACAGACACATCCCTTTTTAAGTACTCCATTATCCAGACATTTAAAATGCATCTAAAGTGTGAGGATTTCTACTCTAAATGCATCTCTTCCTCTTGTTCTCTTGAGGCTATTCCTGTATATGAATTACTCATTACCTCAACTCATTACTGATAACACTTTTTTTGGAAATTCATTCATAATAAATAATATGAAAGCAGTACCAATGTCCTCATATACAACTTTTAAAGTTTGTATTGTGATAAGAATACCTACCATGAGATACACTCTCTCAGCAAATTTTTAAGTGTACTGTGCAGTCAAGTTATCTAGACTCAGGATTCTGTGCATCCAGTCTCCAGAACTTATTCATCTTGCAGAACACCAATTTTATACACACAAATTAGCAACTTACAGCTGTTTTGTTTTGGTTTTGTTTTGATTTTGGGGGGCAATTTTTAGGATTTTCTACATACAAGACATGTCATCTGTAAACAGTGACACCTTTACTCCTCTCTTTCTGATTTAGTAACTTTTTCTTGCCTAAGTTCTCTGACTAGGACTTACAATACTATGTAGAACAGAATTGGTGAGATAGGGCATCCTTGTCTTCTCCATCATCTAAGTGGAAGCTTGTTCAGTGTTTCAGCATTGGCTATGATGCTAACTGTGGGCTTTTAAATATGGCTTTCAATATGTCCAGATAATTTCCCTTTATTTGTAGTTTGTTAAGAGGTTTTATCATGGAAAGATGTTGAAATTTGTCAAATGATTTTTATGCATCTGATGAGATAATATTTTAGTCTTTCATTATGTTAATGTGGTCCATCAGATTCAGTGATGTTTAGATGTTGCACCATCCCAATATTCCAGAGAGACATTCCACTGGATCATGGCAAATGATCCTTGTAATGTGCTGTTCAGTTTGATTTGCCAATATTTTGTTGAGTACTTTTTGCATCTTTGTGTTTCAGTAAGAGTGGTCTGTAATTTATGTTAATTTGGTGTTTGCCTGGTTTTGATTTCAGGGCAATGCTGACTTTATAAAATAAGTTTAGAAGTATTTCTTCATCTTAAAACTTTTGGGAGGTCGAGATGGGTGGATCACAAGGTCTGGAGATCGAGACCATCCTGGCTAACAAGGTGAAACCCCATCTCTACTAAAAATACAAAAAATTAGCCGGGCATGGTGGTGGGCACCTGTCATCCCAGCTACTCAGGAGGCTGAGGCAGGAGAATGGCGTGAACCTGAGAGGTGGAGCTTGCAGTGAGCAGAGATCATGCCATGCACTCCAGCCTGGGCAACAGAGCGAGACTCCATCTCAAAAAACAAACAAACAAACAAACAAAAAAACTTTTGGAAGTGGTTCCAAGCTCGCTTTCGATTACTGATTCAGTCTTTTACTAGTAATAGTTCTGTTTCTACTTTTTCAAGATTCAATCTTGGAAGATTGTACATATCTAGGAATTTATCCATTTCTTCTATGTTATCCATTGCTGAGTATACAATTTATTTTTAGTAAGCTCATGAGATAAATGGCCAAACATTAAAAAACGGAGTGAGGGAGTCAGGGACAGACAGGAGACAGTTGAAAGAAAGAAAAATACATTTCAGTCTCCTAGAGTTAGAAGGAATTCTAGAAGGTTTTGTTTAAGATAACAAAAGTGTAGGAATTCCTTATGCTGTGGCTGGGGGCATCCTGGAGAGATGCTGCTGCCTGGAGGCCCAGGCCCCTTCCTGTCCTGGCTCATCATCAGGCTCAGAGGAACTCGAGACCTTAGGGAAAGAGGAGCAATAGAGGGGAAATATTAGCATAGGTTCCAAAAATGAAAAGGAACTAAATAATCATGAAACTACATATAGATATTTTATATAAATGTAATTATTATAAAATTATAATAGTATATTTCTAATATAATTATGACAGTATTATAATTATTTATATAATTATAACAGTATTATAATTATTTATATAATTATAACAGTATTATAATTATTTATATAATTATATATCACTTTGGTATATATAATGTATATATATAACTAAATTTAAATAAATGTCCATCATTTGACCAATTAGAAATCCAAAGTTTATATACAAAATTCTGTACTGAAATAACTTCTAAGACAAAAATTGAAAATGAAGCTGGTTGGCTTCGTGCCCCTCTACACTACAGGTTCTAGAGAGGGGAATCTAGATCCTGCAGCAGGCAGAAGAATGCCCCCCAAAGATGCCCATGCCATAGTCCTGGGGCTCTACAAAGACATCACCTGCAGGGCCAAAGGGACTGGGCTGACGTGATAGAGGCCCTTGGATGTTACAGTCACCCTGGCCTGTGCATGCCATATGCCCTGGGGTCCTGATGAGGAGAAAGAGGAGCAGCAGAGTCCAAGACTGGGGAGGTGTGGGATGGAAGCGGAGGTCAGTCACACAGCCACCAGCCGGGGAACGCAGGCGCCCCTAGGAGCTGGCAAAGGCAAGAGATAGATTCTCCCAGATAACTCTAGAAGGAAGCAGCATGGCTGGTGCTCAAGTCTTTAGTTCTGTGAAACGCCTTCCAGACTCTGACCTTGGAACTGTATACTGGTCCATTGTAATTTCACTTTAGCATTTTTGGGATTGCACCAATTGGCAAACTTTGTGATCAATACCAGGGCTCCAATAATAGCTATACCTAGGAAATTCATTAGATTTCAAGATTTAAACATGTATCCCATGTGAACTTAAGATAATTAAATAGAAATCAATATATTTGGAAGAAGAAATAGACACACCGCACTTTAGCGGTTGCCTTGCCTAGATTTCACATGATCATAATGTCCTTTGTCCTAAAATATCTCATATTGGGCATACACTCTGACACAATGAATTAAATTAAAATGGAATGAGGTGTTTGGCACTTGTGCATTGGCTTGATAAAATGGAACTCAAAGAGTTCCAGTTTATGTAGTTAATATATTCCAACAGAAGTGAAAATGGACCTTCGAAGATTAAAAACTATTATACAAATCTAATCAATAAAGAGGTGATTTTTCCCATTGCTTCTCTATTTCACAGCCAAATCTTGCCTGTTCTTAAACCGGTGAAGAAGAAAAGACAATAGCATGAAGGTTGCCCTATGTTGGATTGTCACAACTTTCATGCCGTGGCCCCACCCATTAGGGCCCCATACTCCCAATGTTCTCAAAACGACTGGCTTTAACCAACAGCCAGTGCAGACTTTGCTCTTCCAGATGTGTCTAATTGGTTGTACTCAGCGCCCATCTCAGCAGCCCCTTAGCTGCAGATTGTCTTTGCCTGGGAAGGACACCCTTCTCAGGATACGCGGGCACCTCAGCGGCGTGGCCACCACATGAGAGCTTCGCAGGCTGGCTCCTCACTGCATCTGCCTTCCTCCGCAGCACTGCTGACACCTCCTCTGAGGAGATGCTCCCCATACTTTCATTAAGGACATACAAATGCCACATCCTGCTGTTCCTTGTGGGTTCTGGTGCAACATATTCCTCACCCATAAATTTCAACTAGCCTCGCTGTTGTTGCTACTTATAAATCACCTCCCCTAAATGAAATTTCCTTCAACAAAAGGCTCAACAGTGTGCCTAATTTAAAATCAACAGGCTCTTCTGTTAGTATCCTCAGAAACTCCTTCACTAAAGAAACTTGGCAAACCCTTCTCATGCCTCCTGGTGTCTCTGGGCGATCAATGTGGCCTTAAGATGCTCGACAGTTTCCAAGGCAAGTAACTGCTCCCTTTGGCCTTGGACTATAAATCATTCAACTGAACATTGCTGTCTACAACCTGGACTATTTGGACACATCCAGCTAACTATTGTGTTTGGGGTCACGGGAACAGCACCCCACACACTTAGCATGGCTCCAGAGGCCTTCTTAAGACAGGATAAAGCAACACCCAGGCCCTCTGTCATTTCTGCTTGCAGCAGGACTGGCTTCCTATATCCACAGTCACCTGGCAGGTGCCCAAGTGCTGGAGGAGGCCACCTCTCGGCCACATGGGAAGAACGCTGGGACTCACTGAGTGGACAGTGACTGGCATTTGCGGGCTGCAAGGATGACAAGTGATGGGGCTTGGGGCATGCTTCTGCTCTCCCTCTCTTGGCCATATGTCCCAACAAAGGATGGGGCTGGGGATCCCCAAAATTAGGCAGACATCAGGCAGTCACACCAGCATTGGGTGCCCTATCGAACCAATGGCTCCATTTCCACATTTATTATAAACAGCTCAGACGTTGTTTAAGAGCTGTCTTCAGGGTAAGGAAATCTGAAAGTCTCTTGCCTCCCAGACACTGAAAATATAAATCAAGTGGCTCATATCTCTGCACATAATAAGTTCACAATACGAGGCTTTGGTGGGACACTAATGTCCTTCAAAATTGCATACTTTGCTGACAGTAACCAAGTCACACATTTTACTTTTCAAAACACACAATGCTGGATACAGAAAAAGCCACTTGATAGAACTTCATGCCTCTTAGGCCCCATTCAATAGAACTTAATTATGGGCTGGTTTAACTCAGAGACATACTGATCTCCTCAAACAATTCCTTCAAATTCCACTCCAGTAAATGGACACCCAATGGATCTCCAACTTCTGTAGAACTAACTCTCCCTAAATTCAAGGCTCTTAGCTGAGTCGCCCTCATCCCAGCTTTCAGGACTTCTCCATCACCCTTTGAGATACTTATAGGCTTATATTCATTGCATTATTGAGGCTATTTAAAATATTATTTCCATATCTTTACAAATGTTTGATGTTGCTCTTATCTCATAAGGGCTGGAGAACCTATTGAGGGTAAAAACTCTCCTCGGATGATTAGCCATAGAGGGTCCCGTGGGTCAGTCGGCTGCTCATCTGATATGAGCCCATTTGAACGTAAAGTTCCACAAAAACAAACTCAAAAAACAAATGAAAACAACATCAACACCTGCCAACTGCAGCCAAGCACCCCTCTGTTGACTGCTGGTCTCACCATTGTCCATGTGGCTGCTTGTATTGTGGACTTATTTGTTATAATCCAAAGGGCAGAAACCTCCAAATAGGCCATCACTTCAACCAAACACGGCAAGTGCTGATAGCCAGTCAGTCCGCTTGAGCACATGCCCACCTGGAAAGGACACCCTAGTACCCCATCCTAGAGCACATCGGCCTGGCCCAGGGCTCAAAGCTGGAGGTGGCTTTGGCTTTTCCCCGGCGAGCTGGAGACAGTTGTGCCCTAAACCTTAACACCAGTCATGGCCTGGGAAGTCTCTCAATGAAACAATAAGGCATTGGACATGCCTTGCTTTTGTCCCTTGGATACTAGGGATCCTATTGTGCTCCCTGAGCTTGCTGTCCATTTGGTCCAGGATCCCAGTGCACTCCTTGCTGTTTGCCACAACATGCTACACTACATTTCTGTTCATACAGAGAAATCTGATAGTGGTTACTACCATCTCTGTCAGTCTGAAAATCAGCAGAGGTCATTGCTGCACACAAAGGAACCTGCCTCATATCCATCAACCCTTTGACACCATGAGGAGAGAACCACCCACTCCCCAGTAACTTTTCCCACTCCCAACCCGCATCTCTGAACTACGACCACCACCAACACTTCCACCTTTTGATTACCACTAATCTTGAGAAATAATTTACTAACCCATCCATCCATGCACTCCAACAATGTGACTAGAGGACCTGCCACCTTGACCCAAGAAAGACACCAAAATATTATTGTTAGAAAAATACATGCATAAAGAAATTTATAACTGCACCAAGACATTGTTTGCGACCCCAGCTGTCTCAGACCAGGTTTCTTGGCTGTCATACAAATGGGAAACCTATTTATGGGCTGGCTGGCAGCGACTCTTGATACTTCTACTTGTGTTCCTCCTCTCTACTCTCACAGTAAAATGTTTTCTATATCCTTTAGGGCAACTGATGTAGCCACACTCTGTAAACTCTTCAGCATCAACACTCCAAAAATTCCTTCACATGACATGAAACCATCAGAGGTTGGGTTGGGTTAATCCTGTGTCCTTATTCTCCGTGTTTATGATACTCTGACATCTTGGAGTCTTGTGGAACTGGGGAGGAAAAGCCTGTCCCAGGATTACTTAATTTCTAGAAGAAACACTTGCTGGTGAGCACACCTTTCCTGTGCAAACCAGGGCATACGGGCCCATTCTCCCCACCTGTTTATCTGACTCACACAACAAGCCAACATTTCCTCTGCCCTAAACCCCCAAGGGGCAGGTACAGGACAAGGAGAGATGGCTCCAATAGGCCAGAGCCCATCGCGTTTTTCAGCATCCCATGCCATGCCGGTTGGAAGCTCGTCCACCCGCCTCCCTCATCCCTTCCCCTGGAAGCTGAAGAAGGCTGTGCTGCTGC
Organism: Homo sapiens; assembly: GCF_000001405.40. Classification (NCBI taxonomy): domain Eukaryota; kingdom Metazoa; phylum Chordata; class Mammalia; order Primates; family Hominidae; genus Homo; species Homo sapiens. The sequence goes on along the minus strand of NC_000015.10, from coordinate 22,138,302 downwards.
CGCCTCCCTGCTCCCCTTCAGGGCTTTCTGGGCAAGGCTTACAGTTCCAGGAGGATCCAGCCCCCCGTGTGGAGGTGCTCTCCAGGTCCTGAGACTTCAGTGCAAGATGAAGGTGTGCTTTGCACGTGGGAGGCCCCAGTCATAAGCAGGGAAGGTCCAGGGGAGGCCTCAGTTTCTGATTCAGGAGCTGGAGAAGGAGGAGGCCTTATCTGCTCCCAGGAATGACCCTCCCTCTTCTGAGTGCCCCGCCATCTGGGGCTCCAGGTCAGAGAAGTGCCAGCCACAAGAGGGAACTTGGAAGGTGTGGAAATGAATTCTGCTCTCAGGAGAAAACCCCACTGATGAAGACATGCTTGCCTTTTCCTTCTCTCCTCCTGGGCACCCTTGCCCTAGGGCCCGCCTCTCCCTTCATCCCCCTGAGGGAACTTTGAGCAGAGTGTGGGCCCAGAGGCCACAGGTCAGGGACATGAGCTCAGCGCTATGGGGATGCACAGCCTTGGGCAGTCAGTGGATGCTTCCTGGTGGGGCCTCGCCTCTGAATGGCCACATGAGTCATTCCTGCCCTGGACAGTAGAGAACCCGAGCAGAGGATGGCCCTCCCAGCAGGATTTGACTGTGAGCATTCCGTGAGCATAGCTCATTTCTCAGAGCTGAGAGGGTGGTCCTGACTGGCTTGCGCCCTCCCAGTGCACCTCTGTGTCCTCTCCACGCTGCCTGCCTCCCCAGGGCCTGGGCAGCCCCTACCTCCTGCTGATTTCCCTCAGCCCAGCTCCTGCTCGGGGGGAGCCCTGCAGAGCCCTCACTGGGCACCTCTCTCAGAGGCACTGGGCCCCACAGGTAACTGAGCAGGTGCAGCCATCGCTCAGTACAGCTCCTGGGGACAGGTCAGGTGGGTTAGGCTGGGGCTCTGGTGAGGTCAGGCCACACCACCCAGGGGAGACAAGAGCTGAGACACCTCACTTCCCATGTCTCTCTTTTCACGTCTCTTAGGGCAGTCTTCCCCCAGCTGTGTAGCTCAGGAAGAACTCTCAGGGTTCATGTGGAGAAAGAGGCTGTGACCACCCCAGAGGCCTCTTCTCCAGTGAGAAGCAGGGGGACACCCCGGAGGAGCAGACATTCTAAGGCTGCCCGTGAGCCCTGCAACTGGCTCTGTTCCCAGCAGGGAGGTGGAGAGGATGCCACTCAGGAATCACCTCGGAGCCCCGAGAAGAGGGAGGTCTAGATGTTGATTTCTTGGGAAAGGGCTGTGAGCTCAAAGATGGGCTTAGGAATATGGATCACAGAAAAAAATTTGATGTGCAAAAATGAAAAAAAATATGACTTTTATTAAATCATAAAACTGTGATGAAACAGCTGACATCAGTGGAGCAGCCTGCACATTTTCCATCCAGGCATCGTTGAGTCTAGATACGTGTCCCAATTATAGACCATCCAGTCATCCAGGGCTGCCACTTGCAGATGGAAAATTGTACTATTTTCAATCATGCACTGAGGTTTGAATTACTTCACAGACTGAACCAAACAAACATGGGCTCCATTGAAGAGTGTCTGGCATTTGTTTCAACCACAAGAGAACTTTCCCCAGCTCTCCCTCATTCTCGGTTCTCTCCTGCAAGCCAGCAGCCCTGCAGTGTAGCCTGCATCTCCCATGCATCCACCCATCTCCTTCCAAGGGCTTTCCACCACACCATCCACTGTTTTTGAGAGCACTGGCAGGCTTTCAATTTGTCCACATTCTGTTGTTACTGAAGTTAGGATTTTTAGGACTAATTAAGGATCATATTTTATGACTGAATTCCATTGCTCCCTCTCTCCTGGGACAGAGCTCCTAAACAAGGTTCTGCAGGTGTAGACAAAGTTGAGCTGTTTTATTCCTCAGCCTAGGAGCTGAGCTCTCAGTGGAGGGTCGGGCAGGAGCTTCCCACCTTCTCAGCACTTCGGTTATTGTGGGGTGGAACCTCTGCCATAGGACAGAGCTAGAAACCAGAGACCCAGTGTTCCCAGTGGCACTGGACCCGGGGCAGAGCCTCCATCCATGAGTGGGGCTCCATGGAAGAAGTGAGTCTCTGGCTCTCGGTAGCTCTTGTTCAGCACTGAACCTCAGCATCATGTGCTGTGTGCAGGGTCAGAGGGCCAACGTACTGGGCCCTGGGGAAGAGTTTCCTCTGGTGGGAGTTGGTAGAAGGTGTCCTGTCTTCTTGGCTGCATCTGTCGGCAGTGGAGTTTACATCATGCTGAGCTGGGATGTGGAAGGAAGGAAGATCATCTTAGATCAAGCATGATGACTGGCCTTACCGAGTTTTCTAGATTTTCTTGAATAAATATTTCTTCACTTGCTTTATGCTGTTAGAGCCTTTCCAAACCCTGTAATTTTTCAAAATAATTTTCACTGGTCTCATGAGGGCCTGGATTCACTGAAACCCTCATGCTGTCGAAGAGAAATAGAATTTTTTTTCACTTTTTAGAGAACACCCATGCGTTATAAAATAATGGGTTGACTTTTCATCCAACACTTTACAGATACCATCAACTTTCCTCTTGCTTGTAAGGTTTTAACCAGAAGAATGCTGTCATCATCTTTTCTGTTCTTTTGGAAGGAATGCCCCCTCTGCTCACCTCCACTTGCCTGCATATATTTCTATTTGTCTTTCCTTTTCAGCAGTTTTAATAAGATTTACCTAAATGTGTGTGGGGGGATCAGTGGGTGTAATTCTGCTGTTCTGTGTTCTCTGAGATGCATGGATTCACGGTTTACTCTGTCTCCATTTTGGGGAACACAATTAGAAAAAATGTCAGTATGAGCCCAGAAACAAGCCTCCCTGAAGAGGGAACAGGACCACCTGGGGACACTCAGGACCCACTGAGCACAAGAGCCAGCCTCAGGGCAGGTGCAGAGGGAGGTTAAGGTCTGGTTTCCTGTCAGCCCTGTGGCTTCCTCTCCATGAAACAGTTTCCTCCATGAAACAGTTTCAGAATATGTGCCATGGGGTGATGAGAAGAATGTATATTCTGTTGCTTTTTGGTGGAGAGTTCTGTAAACATCTATCAGGTCCATTTGATCCAGTGCTGAGTTAAGGTCCTGAATATCTTTGCTAATTTTCTGCCTAAGTGATGTGTCTAATACTGTCAGTAGGGTGTTGAAGTCTCTCATTATTATTGTGTGTGAGTCTAAGTCTCTTTGTAGGTTTCTAAGAATTTGTTTGAACAGGGTGCTCCTGTGTTAAGTGCGCGTATATTTAGGATAGTTAGCACTACTTGTTGAATTGAACCCTTTGCCATTATGTCATTACCCTTTTTTGTCTTTTTTTATCTTTGTTGGTTTAAAGTCTGTTTTGTCTGAAATTAGGATTACAATCTCTGTATTTTTTATGTTTTCTATTTACTTAGTAGATTTTCCTCCATCCCTTTATTTTGAGGCTATGGGTGTCATTGCATATGAGCCTATGGGTGTCATTGCATGTGAGCCTATGTGTGTCATTGCATGTGAGCCTATGCGTGTCATTGCATGTGAGCCTATGCGTGTCACTGCATGTCTCTTGAGACAGCATACCATTGGGTCTTGCTTTTTTATCCAGCTTATCACTCTGTGCCTTTTAATTGGGGCATTTACCCCTTTTACATTCAAAGTTAGTATTGATATGTGTAGATTTGATCCTGTCATCATGCTGTTAGTTGGTTACCATACATACTTGTTTGTGTGGCTGCTTTCTAGTGTCATTGGTCTATGTACTTCAGTGTATTTTTGAAGTGGTTGGTAATGATATTTCCTTTTCTTATTTAGTGCTTCCTTCAGGAGCTCTTGTAAGGCAGGTCAGTCTGGTAGTAACAAATTCCCTCAGCATTTGCTTGTCTGAAAAGGATCTTATTTCTCCTTCACTTATGAAGCATAGTTTGGCTAGATGTAAAATTCTAGTTTGGAATTTCTTTTCTTTAAGAATCTTGAATATTGGCCCCCAACCTCTTCTGGTTTGTAGAGTTTTTGTTGAGAGGTCTGCTTAGTCTTATGGGCTTCCCTTTGTAGGTGACCTGACCTTTCTCTCTGGCTGCCTTTTGCATTTTTTTCTTTCATTTCAACCTTGGAAAATCTGATAATTATGTGTCCTGGAGGTGATCTTCCTGTGAAGTACCTTAAATGGGTTTTTGTATTTTCTGAATTTGAATGTTAGCCTCTCTAGCTAGGTTGAGGAAGTTCTCATGAATGATATCCTGGAATATGTTTTCCAAGTTGCTGCCATTCTCCCCATCTCCTTCAGGGACACCAGTGAATCATAGATTTGTTCTCTTTACATAAACATATTTATCAGAGGTTTTGTTTCTTCCTTTTCATTCTTTTTTCTCTATTCTTGTCTGCCTGTCTTGTTTCAGAATGCCAGTCTTAAAGCACTAATATCATTTCTTCTGCTTGGTCTATTCTGCTGTTAATAGTTGTGATTGCATCATGAAATTTTTGCAGTGTGTTTTTCAGTTCTATCAGGTCAGTTATGTTCTTTTCTATACTGTCTATTTTGTCTGTCAGCTCCTGCATTGTTTTATTGTGATTCTTAGCTTCCTTGGATTGGGTTTCAACATACTCCTGTACCTTGTTGCTCTTCATTTCTATCCATACTCCAAATTCTATTTGTGTCACTTCAGCCAACCCAGTTCAGTTAAAAACTTTTGGTGGAGAGCTGGTGGAGGCATTCGGAGGAAAGACAGCATGCTGGCTTTTTGACTTGTCAGAGTTCTTGCACTGTTTTTTTCTCATTTTTGTGGGCTAGTGTTTTTTCAATCTTTGAAGTTCTTGTCCTTTGGATTTTTTTTTTATCTTATTAGATGACTTTGAGAGTTTGATTGTGTTATAAAGTGGGTTCAGTCAACTGGCTTTATTTCTGGAAGATTTTGGGGACCAAGGTTCAGCTGTCATCTCCCCAGCTGCATGTTTTAATTCTGGGGGACTTATATCCTACCCTACTTTGTTCTCTGACTTCTCAAGATTATGAACAGACTGTGATGGGGGTGCTAAGGTGCTCCTGGACTGCTGGTCACTACACGTTGATGGAATGGTGCTAGTCAAAGGGTTTTGTAGTGTGGTGGCAGTAGGGGGGGGGGGTCTGTCCTCATTCACAGGTGCCCTCAGCAGCACCAGAACCAGCAGTATTAAATCAGGATGCATGCTTGTCAGCTGCAGCAGACTGCTAGCAGGTGCTGAGATGCCTGCCTCCATGAAGGCATTGACAGCAGGGGTAGAGTCAGCATAACTTGGGGGGTCAGCAGGCCCCCATTGGTGACTGTGTGCATTGGTGCACTGATGGTGGTGTTAGTATGGGGGCAGGACACTGGTGGGTTCAGGTGTGTGTGCACCCTCTGTGGCTACTCAGGGCAGGGGAGGGTTCATTGTTTTCAGTGCCTAGTTTCATTCTGGTGGCAGTGTTGGCACAGGGGCAGGTCACTGACAGAGGCAGGACTGGTGGGCTCTGTGCCCACTACAGCTCTGACTGCAATGGTAGTATGGCCGAGGAAGGGGAGCAGAGTGCACTCCTGCTGGCAGCAGAGGCAGGGCAGCGTACACGTGCTCACACAAGCTGGTGGTGAAGGGAAGGGAAAATCCACCTGCACACATACAAGCCAGCCAAATGATGTCAGGGGGCAGGGGTGGTTGGCCATGGGCTTGGAAGAAGCTGCAGCAGAGGGAGGGAGCAGGCAGGTTGGTGCATGGCCCTAGGGGCCACCCCGCTGGAGCTCTCCACCAATTAGATATGGTCTGCCATTGCAGAAGCTAAGATGCGGGTCCCCAGGGAACCTGAGTCTGTACTGCAAGCAGAAAAAAACCAGGCTGGAGCACTGGGAGAGGTCAGCAGACCAGGGGGTACTAAGGTTGGATCTGCCCCATCTGATGGGAAGACTGCCCTGCAGAATTCATATCTGACAGTTCCCCTAGGGCTAAAGTCTCCTATGGAGGCAAGTCAAGTCTGGAGAGATGGGTATCCCTGGCCGTGCTCTGCTATAGATGTTCCTGCAACAAACCCTCTGGGCTCCATATCGGCTACCATGCTGCTCCTACCACTCCTCTAAGCACTTCCCCTGCCAACTCTGTGTCTGTAGTGGTTGAGGGGTCTCCTCCCGGTGGGATTCCAGAGGCTTGTGGCAAGAGTAGGTTGCTTCTTGCCAGTTCAACTCACCCATTCCCCCAAAGTTCTTGGGGGTGAGGAACGAGTCCCATTGCACGGTAGCCCCACCCAGCTTCTGCCCAGCTTTTGTGTCTTGAGGACCTGTTAGGACTGTGCCAGTCATCCCAGTCCCACAGTGACAGCTGTTCTATCTGTCTGCAACTAGTCAGACATCTTGACCAAATTGGAAGTTTCTTACAAAGCTGAGCATAGCCTTACCATATGATCACACTCCCAGGCACTTACCCAACTGATTTGAAACATGTGTACACAAAAACCCAGTCATGAATGTTTACAGCAACTTCATTCCCTAACAGCCAAAAATTGGAGACAATCACAATGTTCTTCAACGAGTGTATGAATAAACAAACTGTGCTATATTTACAATAGAATGTTATTCAGCAATAAAAAGGTCATTAACTACCAAGCCATAAAAAAGCATGAATGAATCTTAAATGCATAATGCTAGCTGAAAGAAGCCAGTTTTGAAAGGTTATATACTGTATGACTCCAATTGTATGACATTCTAGAAAAATTAAAACTATAGAGACAGTAAAAGACTGGTGGTTACCAAGAGTACAAGGAGAAGAAAGAAGAGTGGAATAATTTAAGTTGAAGAACAATTTAGGGTGAAGAAATTATTCTTTCTAATGCTGTAGAAATGAATACATGATATTATAAATATGTCAAAAATTATAGAAAAAACTTAATTTGTGTAAGTTTTAACAACTATACTACAACAAATTGAATAACCTTGAAGAAATAGATAAATTTCTGGACACAATTTGTCAAAATTAAATTAAGAGGAAATAAAAAATCTTAACCGATCAATAAGGAATAAAATTGAATCAATAGTTTCAAAAATCTCACAGCAAAGAAAAGCCCAGGACCTAATGGATTCTGTTTTAAATTTTACCAAACATTTGAAAAAGAACTAATACCAATTTATTGAAATTGAATAGGCATACTCATTTTAGAAGGCCTGCATTACTCTGATACCTAAGCCACAGGTGGATACTAAAAGAAAAGTTCAATCCAGTGTCTCTGATGAACATAAATGCCAGAATACTAACACATTAAATCTGGCAGCACATTAAAAGGATAATTCATGGTTAGCAAGCACAGTGATATTTGAACATATGCAAATCAATAAATGTGATATACCACATTGGCAGAATGAAAGGCAAAAACCATATGGTTACCTCAATAGATGCAGAAAAGGCATTGACAAAATTCAACATCCTTCATCATAAAAACTTCCAACAAATTATGCTTAGAAGGAACCTACCACAGTGATAAATGCCACATATTACAATCGCACAGCTAACATCATATTCAATGGTGAAAAATTGAAAGCTTTCCTTCTAAGATCAGAAAGAAAATAAGGATGCCCACTCTCACCGAGTCTACTCAATATATTACTGAAAGTACTAGCTAGAGTAAGTAGGTAAGAAATAAAAGGCAACCAAATTGCAAAAGAAGAAGTAAAATTGTCTGTTTGCAGATGACGTGATCTTATATCGAGAAAATCCTAAAGATGTCCTCAAAAAAACCTTCTAGAATAAGTGAGTTCATAAAGCTGCAGATTAAAAAATGAACATACAAAAACTAGTGGTATCTCTGAACAGTAACAATGAATTATCTGAAAAGGAAGTCAAGAAAACAATCCCATTTATAACTATAAAAAATTAAAACAAAATACTTAGGAATAAATTCAACCAGGAGGTTTAATCTCTGTACACTGAAAACTATAATACATTGATGAAATAAATGGAAAAAGAGAATTAAAAGTAAATATACCTATGTACATTAATTTTAAAAAATTAATATTGTTAAAATATCTAAAATAATTAAATTACCTACAGATTCTATCAAGTCCCTATTAAAATTCCGATGGCATTCATCATAGAAATGGAAAAAACAAAACCAAATTTGTATGTACTTGTACAAGACTCTAAATAGCCAAAGTAATTTTGAGAAAAAGGAACAAAGCTGGAAGCATCACACTCACTGCTTCAAACTCTACTACAAAGCCATATTAATTAAAACAGTATGGTACTATAAAAACATGACACATAACAATGGAACACAGTAGGGAGCCCAAAAATAAATTCACACATATATGGCCAACTAAGATTTGACAAGGGTGCCAATAATACACAATGGGAAAAGAAAAGTCTATTTAATAAATGCTGTTGTAAAAGCTAAATATCCACATGCAAAAGAAAGAAACTGAAGTCTTGTCTTATGACATATACTAAAACTAACTGGAAATGAATTAAAGATTTAAATGTAAAACCTGAAACTGTAAAACTACCAGAAGAAAACATAAGGAAAAAACACCTTGACAACAGTCTTGGCAATCATTTTTTGGATATGACCACAAAAGCACAGGCAACAAAAAATAAACAAGTGGGACTATATCAACTAAAAATTCCACTGCGCCACAAAAGAAACAATTGACCAAATTAAAAGGTAACCTATCGAATGGGAGAAAATATTAGTAAACCATATGTATGATAAGGGGTTAATACTCATAATATATTAGGAAGTACGCAAGTCAACAGTAAAACAACAAACAACCTGATTTTTACAATTGGCAAAGATTTTAACAGACATATTCCCAAAACAGACATAGAAATAGCCAACATGTATATGAAAAGGTGCTCAACATCATCAACCATTGGGAAAATGAAATTAAAACCGCAATGAAACATCACCTCATACCTACTGTAATGGCCATTATGAGAAGACACATGATAACAAGTGTTGGTAAGGATGTGGAGAAAAGGGAACCCTTTCACACTATTGATGGGAATGTAAATTGGCACAGGCATTATGGAAAACAATATAGATGTTCTTCAAAAAATAAAAAATAAAACTTCCATATGTTCCAGCAATCTCACTTCTAGATATATACCCAAAGGAAATGAAATAAGTATCTCTAAAAGATAACTATACTGCTATGTTCACTGCAGCATCATTCACTATAGCCAAAATATGGAAACAACCCAAGTGTACATCAATTGATGAATGAGTATAAAAATTGTGGTACATATATGTGATAGATTATCATCCAGCCAAAGAAAGAAGGAAGTTTTGCCCTTTGCAGCAACATAGATAAACCTAATAGACATTACGGTAGGTGAAATAAGCCAGACACAGAAAGACAGACACTATATGATCTCACTTACATGTAGAATCTGAAAAAAAAAAAAAAAAGCTCATTGAAGGAGAGAGTAGAACAGTGGTTGTCAGAGGGTTTTGAAGTCAGAGAAAAGGGGAATATGTTGGTCAAATGGTACAAACTTTCAGCCCTAAGATAAACACATTCTTGGTAACTAATGTACAACATGGATGGTGATTAATGTGTTAATTTGATTGTGGTAATCATTATACAATGTATATGTATATCAAATTATCATTTCATATACCTTGAATATATTTGATCTTTATGTGTCAATTAAATATTTATAAATTTAAAAATCTACAAAAGAAACAAATCATTTCAATTCTATACAATAAAAAAGAACTATCTAAAAGGGAAATTAAGAAATTAATCTCATTTCCATTAGAACCAAAAAATAAAATATTTAGGAGTAAACTTAAACAAAGAGGTGAAAGACTTGTACACTTAAACTGTAAAACATTGAT